>NW_013171805.1:0-134099 GCF_000001405.40 Homo sapiens | reverse complement strand
GAATTCTTTACACATTTTGCAGGAGACTGCAGCAACCCTAATAGTCAGTGTTTTTCAATAAACTAGGAAGGCATCCAGGGAATTGGATTTTAGAATAATTGGAGCCCAAAGACCTCCAGTAAGGAAAAGAAGGGTGCATCTCAATGAACCTCATTTCCAGACAGAGACCTTGTAAGTCATATGAAGACATGTCATCTCAAACAATAAAGAAACTGGGAGAAATGGAGAGAAACTGGTGGGTGTAAGGGGAGATGAAGGCAGACATCGTATATGTCAAAGGTGAAAGAGTTAAAGTTTGGCAGAGGGCAGTCACTCACACCTGTAATCCCAGTGCTTTGGGAGGCTGAGGTGGGAGGACTGGGAGCCCAGGAGTTAAAAAGCAGCCTGGGCAATACAGCAAGACCTTGTCTTTATCAAATATATATATATATATATATATATATATATATATATTATATATAAATATATATATATTTTATAAATATATAATATATATTATATATATATATCTGGGTGTTGTGTTTTATGCCTGTAATTTCAGCTACTTGGGAGGGTGAGGCAGGAGGATTGCTTGAGCCTAGGAGTTTAAGGCTTCAGTGAGCTATGATCTTGCCAGTGCACTCCAGCCCCAACAACAAAGGGAGACACTGTCTCTTAACAAACAAACAACAACAACAAAAATAGTTAAAGTTTACTTAGATAATCCTCATAAGAACTTGATGAAGGCATTATTTTGTTATTCCTGTTATATTTTGCTGAAGGGATAATTAAGGCATAGAGTTAAGGATTCTATCCAAAGTCAAACAGATAGTAAAAGATAAAGCTGAGATAAAAACAATTTAAAAAACTAGTTAATTTATTAACTCATCAGATATTAGCCCAAAGTGAATAAACAGGTGTATAAACAGTACAGTTTTTTACTTTCAGAATATCAAAGGAAATGCCCATCGTTGCTGCATGTATGATGACAGCTATCGAAAGTTATTTCTCTGGTTGTGTCACTGAACAGTCGCTGCCTAGAGGAAATGGAGTAACCTCTACTGGAGGTCATTCTGATGAAGGGTTTTGGAAATCAGAACTTTAGCCAAACTACTGAAGTGAGGATTGCAGATAGAAATGAATGTGTTCTGGTAGTTTGGTTTCACTCTTTGAAGTAAGTTGATAACACATTTCTTTGACAGGAAACCTACATGTTCATAAAGTATGAAGGCAGGATTTCTTTTCAATTCAACTGCTTTCAGAGGCAATGGAGATATTGCAATTGAACTAAAATATGCTGTTAAAGTCAGTCTAATGATTCAATTTGTACAGCTTTTGATAATAGATTTTCAGGTCAAATGAAGATAGAATGAAGGAAGCAGTACACAGAAGAACTGTCTCAATTTAAGTTTAATATGACAGTGTACAGATGGAAAAACTGAATTATCATTAAAAACATAGAAAATATGGGGAACAAAATATATGGATGCAATACATCTGTATATGTGCATGTATAATATAGGCAGAAAGAAATTATGGCCTTTGTTAAAAGTATGATTTTCAAATTACAACCACATTGGTTTAGGAAAAATTAAAATTAACTCTTGAGTATCCATGAATTCAAATAAAATTATATAATAAAAGCTATAACACCAATTAATACAAATATGTATTTAAAATTAAAAATTGTCTGACATTAATCTACATATTTTACATACGTTATCACACTGAAGCAACAGCAAAATCCTATGAGGTCAATACTTATCAAGTTACTTTTCTTACTAGAGAAAATGTGTGACATAATGAATAAGAGTGAACTCCTGAAATTCAAATCCCCATTCCTCTGCTAATTAGTTATATAAACTTGGGCAAGTCACCATTTCTTTATCTACAAATGGACTCCCATTGTAGTCATACTTAGCACATCAGCTTGCTGGAACGTTTAAATGAGAAGTCATAGGAGCTCTTTAGGCTCTAGGGTCTGGCCCAAGTAAATGCCTGATGAAAATGAGCTTTTTACTCAACGTCATCATTAATAGAGGCAGAAGTGACAAAAAAGAAACTTGTGTAATATCACAGCATTGGAAAGTAACAAAGCTGAGATACTGATGTCTAGAGAAACAGCATATGATCTCTGAAGTGTCATATACAAACATTAAAATGTGTTTTTATCCCGTTCTGATTATCATTCAAAAATCTTCTCAACATCAGTAACTACTTTAATAAATGAATAGTCAATCTAGTAGATTAATATTAAGCAGTTTTTAAAATAAACATTAAGGATCAAATCAAGCCAATTTACCCCTTCCTCAAAATACTTTTCTCGTTTACGTAGTCTATAAAACACACACAAAAAAACAAAACTGTTCTGACGTCTGAAAACTATGATGAAATCATTTGGTTTATACAAAATTGATCTCCAAATTACTGTCCAAACTCCTTCCTTTTCTTTAAAACTGAACTTCAGGGAGGAGCCAAGATGGCCAAATAGGAACAGCTCCAGTCTACAGCTCCTAGCATGAGCGACACAGAAGAGGGGTGATTTCTGCATTTCCATCTGAGGTACTGGGTTCATCTTACTAGGGAGTGCCAGACAGTGGGCGCAGGTCAGTGGGTGTGTGCACCGTGCAAGAGCCAAAGCACGGCGAGGCATTGCCTCACTCGGGAAGCACAAGGGGTCAGGGAGTTCCCTTTCCTAGTCAAAGAAAGGGGTGACAGACGGCACCTGGAAAATCGGGTCACTCCCACCCGAATACTGCACTTTTCTGACGGGCTTAAAAAACGGCGCACCAGGAGATTATATCCCGCACCTGGCTCGGAGGGTCCTACGCCCACGGAGTCTCGCTGATTGCTAGCACAGCAGTCTGAGATCAAACTGCAAGGCAGCAGCGAGGCTGGGGGAGGGGTGCCCGCCATTTCCCAGGCTTGCTTAGGTAAACAAAGCAGCCGGGAAGCTAGAACTGGGTGGAGCCCAACACAGCTCAAGGAGGCCTGCCTACCTCTGTAGGCTCCACCTCTGGGGGCAGGGCACAGACAAACAAAAAGACAGCAGTAACCTCTGCAGACTTAAATGTCCCTGTCTGACAGCTTTGAAGAGAGCAGTGGTTCTCCCAGCATGCAGCCAGAGATCTGAGAATGGGCAGATTGCCTCCTCAAGTGGGTCCCTGACCCCTGACCCCTAAGCAGCCTAACTGGGAGGCACCCCCCAGCAGGGGCAGACTGACACTTCACATGGCCGGGTACTCCAACAGACCTGCAGCTGAGGGTCCTGTCTGTTAGAAGGAAAACTAACAAACAGAAAGGACATCCACACAAAATCCCATCTGTACATCACCATCATCAAAGACCAAAAGTAGATAAAACCACAAAGATGGGGAAAAAACAGAGCAGAAAAACTGGAAACTCTAAAAAGCAGAGCACCTCTCCTCCTCCAAAGGAACACAGTTCCTCACCAGCAACGGAACAAAGCTGGATGGAGAATGACTTTGACGAACTGAGAGAAGGAGGCTTCAGACAATCAAATTACTCCAAGATATGGGAGGACATTCAAACCAAAGGCAAAGAAGTTGAAAACTTTGAAAAGAATTTAGAAGAATGTATAACTAGAATAACCAATACAGAGAAGTGCTTAAAGGAGCTGATGGAGCTGAAAACCAAGGCTCGAGAACTACGTGAAGAATGCAGAAGCCTCAGGAGCCGATGTGATCAACTGGAAGAAAGGGTATCAGTGATGGAAGATGAAATGAATGAAATGAAGCGAGAAGGGAAGTTTAGAGAAAAAAGAATAAAAAGAAATGAGCAAAGCCTCCAAGAAATATGGGACTATGTGAAAAGACCAAATCTACGTCTGATTGGTGTACCTGAAAGTGACGGGGAGAATGGAACCAAGGTGGAAAACACTCTGCAGGATATTATCCAGGAGAACTTCCCCAATCTAGCAAGGCAGGCCAACATTCAGATTCAGAAAATACAGAGAATGCCACAAAGATACTCCTCGAGAAGAGCAACTCCAAGACACATAATTGTCAGATTCACCAAAGTTGAAATGAAGGAAAAAATGTTAAGGGCAGCCAGAGACAAAGGTCGGGTTACCCTCAAAGGGAAGCCCATCAGACTAACAGTGGATCTCTCGGGAGAAACTCTACAAGCCAGAAGAGAGTGGGGGCCAATATTCAACGTTCTTAAAGAAAAGAATTTTCAACCCAGAATTTCATATCCAGCCAAACTAAGCTTCATAAGTGAAGGAGAAATAAAATCCTTTACAGACAAGCAAATGCTGACAGATTTTGTCACCACCAGGCCTGCCCTAAAAGAGCTCCTGAAGGAAGCGCTAAACATGGTAAGGAACAACCGTTACCAGCCGCTGCAAAACCATGCCAAAATGTAAAGACCATCGAGACTAGGAAGAAACTGCATCAACATCAACTAACGAGCAAAATAACCAGCTAACATAATGACAGGATCAAATTCACACATAACAATATTAACTTTAAATGTAAATGGACTAAATGCTCCAATTAAAAGACACAGACTGGCCAATTGGATAAAGAGTTAAGACCCATCAGTGTGCTGTATTCAGGAAACCCATCTCATGTGCAGAGACACACATAGGCTCAAAATAAAGGGATGGAGGAAGATCTACCAAGCAAATGGAAAACAAAAAAAGGCAGGGGTTGCAATCCCAGTCTCTGATAAAACAGACTTTAAACCAACAAAGATCAAAAGAGACAAAGAAGGCCATTACATAATGGTAAAGGGATCAATTCAACAAGAAGAGCTAACTATCCTAAATATATATGCACCCAATACAGGAGCACCCAGATTCATAAAGCAAGTCCTGAGTGACCTACAAAGAGACTTAGACTCCCACACATTAATAATGGGAGACTTTAACACCCCACTGTCAACATTAGACAGATCAACCAGACAGAAAGTCAACAAGGATACCCAGGAATTGAACTCAGCTCTGCACCAAGCGGACCTAATAGACATCTACAGAACTCTCCACCCCAAATCAACAGAATATGCATTTTTTTCAGCACCACACCACACCTATTCCAAAATTGACCACATACTTGGAAGTAAAGCTCTCCTCAGCAAACGTAAAAGAACAGAAATTATAACAAACTATCTCTCAGACCACAGTGCAATCAAACTAGAACTTAGGATTAAGAATCTCACTCAAAACCACTCAACTACGTGGAAACTGAACAACCTGCTCCTGAATGACTACTGGGTACATAACGAAATGAAGGCAGAAATAGAGATGTTCTTTGAAACCAACAAGAACAAAGACACAACATACAAGAATCTCTGGGACACATTCAAAGCAGTGTGTAGAGGGAAATTTATAGCACTAAATGCCCACAAGAGAAAGCAGGAAAGATCCAAAATTGACACCCTAACATCACAATTATAAGAACTAGAAAAGCAAGAGCAAACACATTCAAAAGCTAGCAGAAGGCAAGAAATAACTAAAATCAGAGCAGAACTGAAGGAAATAGAGACACAAAAAACCCTTCAAAAAATTAATGAATCCAGGAGCTGGTTTTTTGAAAGGATCAACAAAATTGATAGACCGCTAGCAAGACTAATAAAGAAAAAAAGAGAGAAGAATCAAATAGATGCAATAAAAAATGATAAAGGGGATATCACCACCAATCCCACAGAAATACAAACTACCATCAGAGAATACTACAAACACCTCTACGCAAATAAACTAGAAAATCTAGAAGAAATGGATAAATTCCTCGACACATACTCTCCCAAGACTAAACCAGGAAGAAGTTGAATCTCTGAATAGACCAATAACAGGATCTGAAATTGTGGCAATAATCAATAGCTTACCAACCAAAAAGAGTCCAGGACCAGATGGATTCACAGCCGAATTCTACCAGAGGTACAAGGAGGAACTGGTACCATTCCTTCTGAAACTATTCCAATCAATAGAAAAAGAGGGAATCTTCCCTAACTCATTTTATGAGGCCAGCATCATCCTGATACCAAAGCCGGGCAGAGACACAATCAAAAAAGAGAATTTTAGATCAATATCCTTGATGAACATTGATGCAAATATCCTCAATAAAATACTGGCAAACCAAATGCAGCAGCACATCAAAAAGCTTATCCACCACGATCAAGTGGGCTTCATCCCTGGGATGCAAGGCTGGTTCAATATACGCAAATCAATAAATGTAATCCAGCATATAAACAGAACCAATGACAAAAACCACATGATTATCTCAATAGATGCAGAAAAGGCCTTTGACAAAATTCAACAACCCTTTATGCTAAAAACTCTCAATAAATTAGGTATTGATGGGACGTATTTCAAAATAATAAGAGCTATCTATGACAAACCCACAGCCAATATCATACTGAATGGGCAAAAACTGGAAGCATTCTCTTTGAAAACTGGCAGAAGACAGGGATGCCCTCTCTCACCACTCCTATTCAACATAGTGTTGGAAGTTCTGGCCAGGGCAATTAGGCAGAAGGAAAAAAAGGGTATTCAGTTAGGAAAAGAGGAAGTCAAATTGTCCCTGTTTGCAGATGATGACATGATTGTATATCTAGAAAACCCCATTGTTTCAGCCCAAAATCTCCTTAAGCTGATAAGCAACTTCAGCAAAGTCTCAGGACACAAAATCAATGTGCAAAAATCACAAGCATTCTTATACACCAAAAACAGACAAACAGAGAGCCAAATCATGAGTGAACTCCCATTCACAATTGCTTCAAAGAGAATAAAATACCTCGGAATCCAACTTACAAGGGATGTGAAGGACCTCTTCAAGGAGAACTACAAACCACTGCTCAATGAAATAAAAGAGGATACAAACAAATGGAAGAACATTCCATGCTCATGGGTAGGAATAATCAATATCGTGAAAATGGCCATACTGCCCAAGGTAATCTACAGACTCAATGGTATCCCCATCAAGCTACCAATGACTTTCTTCACAGAATTGGAAAAAACTACTTTAAAGTTCATATGGAACCAAAAAAGAGCCCGCATCACCAAGTCAATCCTAAGCCAAAAGAGCAAAGCTGGAGGCATCACACTACCTGACTTCAAACTATACTACAAGGCTACAGTAACCAAAACAGCATGGTACTGGTACCAAAACAGAGATATACATCAATGGAACAGAACAGAGCTCTGAGAAATAACGCCGCATATCTACAACTATCTGATCTTTGACAAACCTGAGAAAAACAAGCAATGGGGAAAGGATTCCCTATTTAATAAATGGTGCTGGGAAAACTGGCTAGCCATATGTAGAAAGCTGAAACTGGATCCCTTCCTTACACCTTATACAAAAATTAATTCAAGATGGATTAAAGACTTAAACGTTAGACTTAAAACCATAAAAACCCTAGAAGAAAACCTAGGCATTACCATTCAGGACATAGGCATGGGCAAGGACTTCATGTCTAAAACACCAAAAGCAATGGCAACAAAAGCCAAAATTGACAAATGGGATCTAATTAAACTAAAGAGCTTCTGTACAGCAAAAGAAACTACCATCAGAGTGAACAGGCAACCTACAAAATGGGAGAAAATTTTCGCAACCTACTCATCTGACAAAGGGCTAATATCCACAATCTACAATTAACTCAAGCAAATTTAAAAGAAAAAAACAAGCCCATCAAAAAGTGGGCAAAGGACATGAACAGACACTTCTCAAAAAGACATTTATGCAGCCAAAAAACACATGAAAAAATGCTCACCATCACTGGCCATCAGAGAAATGCAAATCAAAACCACAATGAGATACCATCTCACACCAGTTAGAATGGCAATCATTAAAAAGTCAGGAAACAACAGGTGCTGGAGAGGATGTGGAGAAATAGGAACACTTTTACACTGTTGGTGGGACTGTAAACTAGTTCAACCATTGTGGAAGTCAGTATGGCCATTTCTCAGGGATCTAGAGCTAGAAATACCATTTGACCTAGCCATCCCATTACTGGGTATATACCCAAAGGACTATAAATCATGCTGCTATAAAGACACATGCACACGTATGTTTATTGCAGCATTATTCACAATAGCAAAGACTTGGAACCAACCCAAATGTCCAACAATGATAGACTGGATTAAGAAAATGTGGCACATATACACCATGGAATACTATGCAGCCATAAAAATGATGAGTTCATGTCCTTTGTAGGGTCATGGATGAAATTGGAAATCATCATTCTCAGTAAACTATCGCAAGAACAACAAACCAAACACCACATATTCTCACTTATAGGTGGGAATTGAACAATGAGAACCCATGGACACAGGAAGGGGAACATCACGCTCTGGGGACTGTTGTGGGGTGGGGTGAGGGGGAGGGATAGCATTGGGAGATATACCTAATGCTAGATGACGAGTTAGTAGGTGCAGCGCACCAGCATGTCACATGTATACATATGTAACTAACCTGCACATTGTGCACATGTACCCTAAAACTTAAAGTATAATAAAACTGAACTTCAAAAATAAGATAATATTGACAATTCCAAATTCAATTTATTCCATAATTCATTTGCTTCATCCACATCCATCACATCTTGGTCTCCCTTGTATGTAGTTTATTGGACTAGCTCAATTGTCAAATTTTCTTGTGTTTGTTTTCAGTGGTTTCTGTCCCTGTTTTCTCTTTCCATATTTTCTTCCAAAAGAATGGTATCGGAGCCCAAGGTTTCAAATGTTACTTATATGCTGATAAATTTAAATGTGTATTTCAAGACCCCAAAACTCCCAGCTCCCAACCTCACTTCTGACTGAACACTAGATTTTCCTAGCTTAAAGTTTTACATACATTCTAGCTTAACTTGTTAATAATTGACTTCTGAGTATTTCCAAAATTCTGCTTTTTTATTTCTATTTTGCCATACACCTGTTCATTCATGTTACAAACCTTTAGAGTTACATTTAACTCATACGTATCTCTCATTCTTCATATGTAATTAATCTCTAAGTACCATTGATTCCTTCAAAGAATTATCACACAAATATGGCTTTACTGGTTCATTTAAACTAAAGCTGCCTGCATTCAGATTCAAAATAATAGCTTATTATTTTAATATTTTAAAATCTCTGATATTAGTGTTCTCCAGAGAAACAGAACTTATTGAATATATATTTGAGATTTTATATATATGTAATATAAATATATCTATATAAATATATAATATATGTCATATAAATATAGCTATATTTATATGTCATATAAATATAGCTATATAAATATATCATATATGTCATATAAATATATCTATATAAATATATAATATATGTCATATAAATATATCTATATAAATATATAATATATGTCATATAAATATATCTATATAAATATATATGTAATATACATATATCTATATAAAAATATAATATATGTAATATACATACATCTATATAAATATATAATATATGTAATATACATACAGCTATATAAATATATAATATATGTAATATACATACAGCTATATAAATATATATGTAATATACATACAGCTATATAAATATATAATATATGTAATATAAATATAGCTATATAAATATGTAATATATGTAATATAAATATAGCTATATAAATATGTAATATATGTAATATAAATATAGCTATATAAATATGTAATATATGTAATATAAATATAGCTATATAAATATGTAATATATTTATATGTATCTATATAAATATGTACTATATTTATATAAATATATAAAAATATATTATATATACTATATTTATATAAATATAGTATATATTATATAATATATAATATAATATATAATATATTATATTTATATAAATATATATTTATATTAATATATTATATATTTATACAAAGATAGTATATTTTTATAAATATATATTTATATTAATATATTATATATTTATATAAATATCTTTATATCACATATGTTATATATATAGATATATAAATATATATTTATATTTTTATAAATATATGGATATATAATATATAAAAATATATAAATATATGGATATATAAAATATATGGATAAATGGATAAATATATGGATATATAAAAATATATATGGAGAGTATATACATATATATGAATTATATACATATATATATGAATATAAAACTGTTAATACCTTTCAGGAACACCCTCACAGAAACATAAAGAAATAGTGTGCTTTACTAGATAGCTGGGAATTCCTTGGCCTAGCCAAGTTGACACAACAAATAATCATCACAAGTCTTTACTGTGCTCAAATTTCAATGTGTGTGGCAGAGTTATCCATGAAGAAACTAAACGTGCCACACATCTACCTGGACACATATGTTGTATTCCCTACTGACTGAAGTATTAACCACAAATACATCACCTTGTCATATTGAAAAATATGCCATCAGAATTAGTCATAGTTAATAACTGAAAATGAGAACTGTGTTCACATCCCAGTTTTGTCACTTACTAGGTATAAATTTATTCAATCTTTCAATTCTGTTTTTTAATTTTAATTGGTCACCTATCCCGTAAAATTAAAGGTATAATGCAAATGAAAAGGATAACCTGGTTATAGGCAATTAAAATATACATAAATAAGTTAGAATTTCTATGACTTTGTTACTATATCACACATTAGGGGATTATTAGATTTTCACTAGATTTGGAAGTAAATGTTTGATTTAAAATAGAGTCTACATTCTGGGTTTTAAGTTTACTGAAGGCTTTGGGGAACACTCAAAGTAAATAATTATTCGGAACAACTGAAACTGGATAAAATAAAATGCCCATGACACGGTTGATGGATAGAAACATGCTATCTGGTACAATGTTTTGGATGGAGAACAAACCGAAGCAAACCAAAACAATGCAAAGAAGACTCTGACCTTCAGAAACTGATTCATAATAGTTACCTTTTACATGGAGAACTATACATAGATGCCCTGGGATGAAGAGGAGCAGTTCTCCCTTACAATTTTAGGCCAGCTAATGCCCAACCAGTGTTAGAAATGTGCTGTTTGATACTGTAAACTTTGGTCTCTGGGGACAGCCTGCCTAAGATGGCATCCTGACTGCGCACCTTACTAACTATGCAATCTTGGGCCTTTCTGTTTCTTCATCTGTAAGTGGAAATAATAATATCTCCCATTTCATAGAGACGTAAAAATTAAGTTAGCTTGTTTATGCAGGATCCTTTTAAAGGCAGGCGGATCACGAGGTCAGGAAATCGAGACCATCCTGGCTAACACGGTGAAACCCCGTCTCTATTAAAAATATAAAAAATTAGCCAGGCGTGGTGGCGGGCGCCTGTAGTCCCAGCTACTCGGGAGGCTGAGGCAGGAGAATGGCGTGAACCCGGCAGGCGGAGCTTGCAGTGAGCCAAGATCGCACCACTGCACTCCAGCCTGGGCAACAGAGCGAGACTCCGTCTCAAAAAAAAAAAAAAAAATAGATATACAATATGTGTCAGCAGTTTTTATACCTATTTCATAATTTTACTTAAGTTATTTCTCTTTCACTCCACATTATCTCATCATCATAACAGCAGTATCTATATCATGACTATGTATGTTTCCCTTATAATATCAGGACGTTCTGGTCTTCCTTCTGCTAGAAATCTATCATCCATGTCTTCAATTGGGGAAGAAAAGTATTATTTAGTACTCAGATCATGCTAGAAAAGTCTCTTTTATAAAAAAGATTTATATAGAACCCTGGAAAAGAGTTGATGCTTGTCATTAGTGTTTCCTCAAAAGTTTATTCACAAAAAGATAAAGTTTGTAATGGGGCTTAGCGAGGGCTGATGGGGCATGGAATAGCCTTAATGGGAATAGGTGAGACCTACATGACAAGAAAAAAATTTTACTAAAACAACTAGAGGTAAACTGGTAATGAAGGATCTGACTAGAGTTCCTTTTCCTTGTGTTTTCTTATCATGGTAGTAAAGTAATGAAAAACTTCAGAAAATAAATTATCTGGTGCAAAAGTTACCTACAGGAATAGTGGTATTTTGGAGACGTATCTTGCATTGACTGTTATGTAAATATATACCATTGTTTCTAATTTCTCCTAACACCATACTAAAAGGAGAAAAATTATTGTGCTAGTACACAACAGTAATTAAAAGCACAAGCACTGAAGATAAATTTTTGGATTCTATCATTGGCTTTGCCATCTACTAGCTATGTAGTCTTTGGCAATTTGCTTAATTTCTTAGGTCATGTAAAAGGAGCTCAATAATTATTAGCTAGTCTTATAAAGTTGGGGTTATGTGAAATGTAACAGTAAAAATAGAATAAAGTTATAGGTAAAAGGAGCATACAAAATACACTTAATATGATCCTCATATTTGGGAAGGTAGACAAATTTATTCTTGGTGATCTGGTAGTCAACTCTAGACACTCTATATCTCATTCTCCTTTAGACTTATAGCTTTATAATGTGTCAAATAGAATAAAAGATAATTGCTAAGTATCATTAAGTACAAGATCAACACCTGAATATGAAGCATGCTTTTCAATACCAGCATCAGAGAGTTAGGAAATGTAATGTAAAATAATGACGTTTGCAATAGTACATGAGATACAAAGAACCTAAGCAAAAATCTAACAAAGTAAGTGAAGATAATAAAACCTTATTGAAGGATTTTAATACTTCATAGTCAGAGAAATATATCTGTCTATGGTTAGAAAGCCTCTTTGCCCTAAATATGCTAACTTTTTAAAAAAATAACCTGTTGGCCTGGTGTGGTGGCTCACGCCTGTAATCCCAGCACTTTGGGAGGCTGAGGCAGGCAGATCACAAGGTCAAGAGATCGAGACCATCCTGGCCAACACGGTTGAAACCCCGTCTCTACTAAAAATACAAAAATTAGCTGGGCATGGGGGCGCGTGAACTGTAGTCCCAGCTACTCAGGAGGCTGAGGCAGGAGAATCACTTGAACCTAGGAGGTGGAGGTTGCAGTGAGCCGAGATTGTGCCACTGCACTCCAGCCTGGCAACAGAATGAGACTCTGTCTCAAAAAAAAAAAAAAAATTAACCTATAAATTCCATATAATCCCAATATTTAATTTCATAGAAATCAATAACTTGATGACAACTTTATAAGCAGATTAGTAAAGGTTATTTTGTAGTAAAAGAAGATCAGGAATTTACCCTTCCAGATACCGAAACATAATAAAAAGCTAGTGGCAGTGAAGCAGAGGTATACAAATTAAACGAGGAAACAGGATATAGATTCTTCCAATAAACTGACTCATACATGAAAATTTCATGGGTATGGATTTTTATGGCACATCACCAGAGAAAGAATGAAATACTAAGGAAAAGGCATAGAAAATTATGTAAGAAAGTTTGAGAAAAATTATGAAAGGATGGTGATATGGGTTTGTCCTTGTGTCTCACCCAAATCTCATGTGGATTTGCAATCCCTGGTGTTGGAGGAGAGGTCTGATGGGAAGTGATTGAATCAAGGGGGTGGTTTCTATTGGTTTAGCAACATATCCCTAGTGCCTTCTCATGATAAAGTCATCACAAGAGATCTGATTGTTTGAAAATGTATAGCACTTCCTCCTTCACTCTCTCTCTTTTGCTCGTTCTCTCTCTCTCTCCTGCTGCCCTTTTGAAGATTTGCCTGCTTTCTCTTCACCTTCTGCCATGATTGTAAGTCTCCTGAGGCCTCCGAGAAGCAGAAGCCTGTACAATCTGCAGAACTGATTAAATTTCTCTCTTCATTTTTTTTTTTTTTTTTTGCTAATAAATTACCCAGGCTCTTGTAAGTCTTTAAAGCAGTGTGAGAATGCTATAATACAGATAGTACTCACAGACTGGAAGAATTCAGATTGTAAAGATATCAACTCTCCCCGAATTTATTTACAGATTTCCTATTCAATCGAATTCCTATCAACATACGAGCAACATTTTAAAGACATAGATACACTTATTATTGAATGTATAGGGAAAGGCACAAGCCCAAGAATAACTGACAATCCCTTTAAAAAAAAAAAAAGAGAGAGAACAAAGTGAGAAGAATCACTATACTTAACAATAAAGCTTTTTATCTAACTATAGTAATCAAAACTATCTGCCATTGGCAAGGAATAGACAAAAAAATAAACAGAACTGAATAGAGAACCCAAAAATAACTGCACACAAGTACAGTTAACTGATTCTTGACAGAGTGCAAAGCAATTTAATGAAAGAAGGACAGTCTTTTCAGAAAACGGTGCTGGAACAACTGGATATCCATAGGCAAAAAAAAAAAAAAAAAAAAATTGAACCTCAGCGTAAACCTCATACCTTCTATATTAATTAACTCAAAATGGATCATAAATTTCTATATAAATCATAAGACACTAAGACATAGAAGTAAGCTTAGGGAGCTAAGGCTCAGTCAAGAATTCTTACACATTGCACCAAATCATGGACTATAAAATAATTTTTAAAAATAATGAATTCAGCTTTATCAAAATTAATAACTTTGCTCTGTTAAATGACCTGTAAATAAAGGGTTAAAAAACAACCTACAGAATAGGAAGAAATACTTGCAAATCACATATCTGACAAAGGACTTGCATTTACAAAATATAAAGAACTCTCAAAACTCAACAGTAAATATATAATGTATATTTTTTATGTAATATACACATATATATTTTATTTATCTATCTATATGGCAAAATATATAGAGAGACATTTTATTGAGGTAGATATAAAGATGAGAAGCATATAAAAAATGTTCAAATCGATAGCCCTCAGAAAAATGCAAATTAAGATTATGATGTAATATCTCCACAAAATTAGCAGAACATCTAAAAAGGAAATAGAAAAAAATATTAAAGTCTGTCAAAGATGTGGAGAAACTGAGTCTGGTGCACTGCCAGTAGGAATGTGAAGTGGTGCAGTCACTCTGGAAATACAAAGAATGTAGGCATAAACCTAAGAAAGTAGATGAAATACTTAGGAATACAAGTAACTATGGAGGTGAAAGATCTCTACAAGGAGAACTACAAAACACTACTCAAGAAAATCAGAGATGACACAAACAAATGGAAAACATTCCATACTCATGGATAGGAAAAATCAGTATTGTTAAAATGGCCATACTGCCCAAAGCAATTTAGAGATTCAATGCTATGCCTATAAAACTACCACTGACATTCTTAACAGAACTACAAAAAACTATTTTAAAATTCATACAGAACAGAAAGGGAGCCCAAATAGCCAAGGCAATCTTAAGCAAAAAGAACAAAGCTGGAGGCATCAAGCTACCCAACTTCAAACTATGCTACAGGGCTACAGTAACCAAACAGCATGGTTCTGGTAATAAATAAATAAATAAATAAATAAATAAATAAATAAATAAAATTAAAAACAATAATCAGGGACATGGACCAGTGAAACACAATAGAGAACCCAGAAATAAGATCACACAACTACAGCTATCTGAACTTTGACAAACCTGAAAAAAAAACAAGCAATGGGGAAAGGATCTTCTATTCAATAAATGGTGCTGGGATAGCTGGCTAGCCATATGCAGGAGATTAAAAATGGACCCGTTCCTTACACCATATAGAAAAATTAACTCAAGATAGACTGAGACTTAAATGTAAAATCAAAAACTATTAAAACCCTGAAAGACAACATAGGCTAGGCAATACCATTCTGGACATAGGTGTGGGCAAAGATTTCATGATGAAGATGCCAAAAGCAATCGCAACAAAAGCAAAAATTGACAAATGGGATCTAATCAAACTAAAGAGATTCTGCACAGCAAAATAAATTATCAACAGAGTACACAGACAACTTACACAATGGGAGAAAATTTCTGCATTATACAGTTCTAATATCCAGAATCTATAAGGAACTTAAACAAATTTGCAAGAAAAAATAACCCCATAAAAAAAAAGTGGGCCAAGGACATGAACAGACACTTTTCAAAAGAAGACATACATGCAGCCAACAATCACATATATAAAAAAGAAACCTCAACATCACTGATTATTAGAGAAATTCAAATCAAAACCACAATGAGATACCATCTCACACTGGTCAGAATGGCTATTATTAAAAAGTCAAAAAATAGCAGATGCCCGTTAGGTTGCAGAGGAAAAGGGATGCTAATACACTGTTGGTGGGAGTATAAATTAGTTCAATATCCATTGTGGAACACAGTGTAGCAATTCCTCAAAGAACTAAAGACAGAAATATCTTTCAACAGCAATCCCATTACTGGGTATATACCCAAAGGAATATAAAGCAATCATTCTATTATAAAGATACATGCACATGTATGTTCATTGTAGCACTAGTCACAATAGCAAAGACATCGAATCAACCTAAATGCCCATCAATGACAGACTGGATAAATAAAATATGGTATATATACACCACGGAGTACTATGCAGCTATACAAAAGAATAATACTATGTCCTTTGCAGGGACATGGATGGAGCTGGAGGTCATTATCCTTAGCAAACTAATGCAGGAGCATGAAACCAAATACTGCAGGTTCTCACTTATAAGTGGGAGCTAACCGATGAGATCCCATGGACATGTAGAAGAGATGGACACATAGAGGAGAACAACACAAACTGGGGCCTATCAGAGGGTGAGAGGAGGGAGAAGATCAGGAAAAATAACTAATTGGTGCTAGGCTTAATACCTGGGTGATGAAAGAACCTGGACAACAAACCCACATGACACAAATTTACCTATGTAACAAATCTGCTCATGCACCCCTGAAGTTAAAATGAAGGGTTTTGTAAAAGAAAAATTACTAGACATATGCCTGCTATAGGACCCAGTAATCAGTCACACTCCCTAGCACTTATAGAAATAAAAACATATTTTCAACATAAACTTCTACATGATCATTCACAGTTTTATTTCTAATGATCAAAAATACTGGAAACAGTCAAATTGCCCTAGAATTGGTGATGGTTAAACAAATTGCTACATTCATAGCCAGATACATATCTCAGCAATAAAAAGGAACAAATTATTGATAGATGCAACAAAGTCGATGGATTTATGTTGAGTGAGGAAAAACACAATTGGAGTCATCTCACATACCATAAGATTCTGTCTATATGGCATTCTCAATATGGCACAACTATACACATAGAGAACAAATTAGTGGTTTCCTGGAGTTAAGATGGTAGGGGAAAGGAAGTGGGTGTGAATATGAAGGTGCAGCATGAGGGAGATTTGGTGTAAAAAAATATTCCTGTATCTTGATTTTATTGGTGGTTCCATGAATTTACACATGTGATAAAATAACAGAATATTCACATGCAGTGTACTATTGCTGATTTCCAGCTGTTGTTCTTGTATTGTTGTTGTGTAATAAGTGACCCATGGAGGAAACTGGGTGAAGTAGGGGAAAGGTACTGGGGACTTCTCGGTACTATCTTTGCAACTTTCTATGAATTTATAATTATTTCAAAATAAATAGTTTAAAAATTAAATGAAAATCAGGAAGAATGTGATTTCAGGGCAGAAAACCCTTTTTAAAGAGAAACAAATAGCACAAACTATAAAGGGAAGGATTGAGCAATAATTCTAAACTAAAACAATTTCGGTTAATGAAAATATAAGAAAGTAAAAAGCCAATCTATACATTGAGAAGATACAGTTTTAAAAATAATCCCATGTATGGCTCCCAGGCAAAATGACTGAATAGGAACAGCTCCATTCTGTGGCTCCCAGTGAGACCAACACAGAAGGCTGGTTATTTCTGCATTTCCAACTGAGGTACCTGGTTTATCTCACTGGGACTGGTTAGACAGTGGGTGCAGCCCAGGAGGGCGAGCTGAAGCAGGGTGGGCTGTCGCCTCCCCTGGGAAGTGCAAGGGGTGGGGGAACTCCCTCCCCTAGCCAAGGGAAGCCTTGAGGGACTCTGCCGGGAGAGACGGTGCTATCGGGCCCAGATACTACGCTTTTCCCATGGTCTTCGCAACCCACAGACCAGGAGATTTCCCCTCGTCCCTACACCACAAGGGCCCTAGGTTTCAAGCACAAAATTGGGCAGGTGTTTGGGCAGACAGCAAGCAAGCTGCAGGAGTTTTTTGTTTGTTTGTTTGTTTGTTTGTTTGGCACCCCAGTGATGCCTGGAACGTCAGTGAGACAGAACCGTTCACTCCCCTGGAAAGGGGGCTGAAGCCAGGGAGCCAAGTGGTCTTATTCAGCGGATCCCACCCCCAAGGAGCCCAGCAAGCTAAGATCCACTGGCTTGAAATTCTTGCTGCCAGCACAGCAGTCTGAAGTTGACCTGGGACACTCAAGCTTGGCGGAGGGAGGGGTGTCCACCATTACGAGGCTTGAGTAGGCGGTTTTCCCCTCACAGCGTATGCAAAGCCACCTGGAAGTTCTGACTGGGTAGAGCCCACCTCAGTGCCACAGAGCCACTGTAGCCAGACTGCCTCTCTAGATTCCTCCTCTCTGGGCAAGCCATCTCTGAAAGAAAGGCAGCAGCCCCAGTCAGAGGCTTATAGATAAAACTCTCATCTCCCTGTGACAGAGCACCTGGGTGAAAGGGTGGCTGTGGGTGCAGCTTCAACAGATTTAAAGGTTTCTGCCTGCTGGCTCTGAACGGAGCAGCAGATCTCTGAGCACAGCGCTCAAGCTCAGATAAGGGACAGACTGCCTTCTTAAGTGGGTCACTGACCCCCATGCCTCCTGATGGGAAGACACCTCCCAACAGGGGTTGACAGACACTTCATACTGGAGATCTCCGGCTGGCTTCTGGCAGGTGCCCCTCTGTGATGAGTTTCCAAAGGAAGGAGCAGGCAGCAATCTTTGCTGTTCTGCAGCCTCTGCTGGTGATACCCAGGCCAACAGGGTCTAGAGTAAAGAAAATTTCAGGCCAATATCCCCGATGAACATCAATGCAAAAATCCTCAATGAAATACTGGCAAACTGAATCCAGCAGCACATTAAAAAGCTTACCCACCACAATCAAGTCGGCTTCATCCCTGGGATGCAAGGCTGTTTCAACATACATAAATCAATAAACATAATCCATCACATAAACAGAACCAATGACAAAAACCACATGATTTTCTCAACAGATGCAGAAAAGGCCTTCGATAAAATTCAACAACGCTTCATGCTAAAAACACTCAATAAACTAGGTATTGATGGAACATATAAAAAAAGTTATTTATGACAAACCCACAGCTAATATCATACTGAATGGGCAAAAGCTGGAAGCATTCCCTTTGAAAACTGGCATAAGAAAAGGATGCCAACTCTCACCACTCCTATTCAACATAGTATTGGAAGTCCTGGCCAAGGCAATCAGGCAAGAGAAAAAAATAAAGGGTATTTAGGAAGCGAGGAAGTCAAATTATCTCTGTCTGCAGACGACATGATTGTATATATAGAAAACCCCATTGTTTCAGCCCCAAAACTCTTTAAGGTGATAAGCAATTTCAGCAAAGTCTCAGGATACAAAATTAATGTGCAAAAATCACAAGCATTCCTATACACCAATAATAGACAAACAGAGAGCCAAATCATGAGTGAACTTCCATTCACAATTGCTACAAAGGGAATAAAATACCAAGGAATACAACTTAAAGGGATGTGAAGAACTTCTTCAAGGAGAAATACAAACCACTGCTCAAGGAAATAAGAGAGGACACAAACAAATGAAAAAACATTCCATGCTCATGAATGGGAAGAATAATTATCATGAAAATGGCAATACTGCCCAAAGTAATTTATAAGTTCAATGCAATCCCCATCAAGCTACCATTGGCTTTTTTCACAGAATTAGAAAAAAGCTACTGTAAATTTCATATGGAACCAAAAAAGAGCCCATATAGCCAAGACAATCCTAAGCAAAAGGAACAAAGCTGGAGGCATCATGCTACATGACTTCAAACTATAGTACAAGGCTACAGTAACCAAAACAGCATGATAGTGGTACCAAAACAGGTATATAGGCCAATGGAACAGAACAGAGGCCTCAGAAATAACACCACACATCTACAACCATCTGATCTTTGACAAACCTGACAAAAACAATTAATGGGGAAAGGATTCCCTAGTTAATAAATGGTGCTGGGAAAACTGGCTAGACATATGCAGAAAACCGAAACTGGACCCATTCCTTATACCTTATACAAAAATTAACTCTAGATGGATTAAAAATTTAGGCATAAGACCTAAAACCATAAAAACTCTAGAAGAAAACCTAGGCAATACCATTCAGGACATAGGCATGGGCAAAGACTTCATGACTAAAACACCAAAAGCAATTGCAACAAAAGCCAGAAGTGACAAATGGGATCTAATTAAACTAAAGAGCTTCTGCATGGCAAAAGAAATCATCATCAGAGTGAACAGGCAACCTACAGAATGGGAGAAAATTTCTGCAGTCTATCCATCTGACAAAGGGCTAATATCCAGAATCTATAAGGTACTTCAACAAATTTACAAGAAAAAAAACAAACAACCCCATCAAAAAGTGGGTGAAGGATATGAACAGACACTTTTTAAAAGAAGACATTTATGTGGCTAAGAAACATATGAAAAAAAAGTTCGTCATCACTGGTCATTAGAGAACTGCAAATTAAAGCCACAATGAGATACCATCTCATGCTACATAGAATGGTAATCATTAAAAAGTGAGGAAACAACAGATGGTGGAGAGGATGTGGAGAAATTGGAATGCTTTTACACTGTTGTTGGGAGTTTAAATTAGTTCAGCCATTGTGCAAGACAGTGCGGTGATTCCTCAAGGATATAGAACTAGAGGTACCATTTGACCCATCAATCCCATTACTGGGTATATACCCAAAGGATTATAAATCATTCTACTATAAAGACACATGCACATGTATGTTTATTGCAGCACTATTTACAATAGCAAAGACTTGGAACCAACCCAAATGCCCATCAATGATAGACCAGGTAAAGAAAATGTGGCACATATACACCATGGAATACCATGCAGCCATAAAAAAGAATGAGTGCATGTCCTTTGCAGGGACATGGATGAAGCTGGAAACATCATTCTCAGCAAACAAACACAGGAAGAGAAAACCAAACCCTGCATGTTCTCGCTCATAAGTGGGAGTTGAACAATGAGAACATATGGGCACGGCGAGGTGAACATCACACACCGGGTCCTGTCAGGGGATGGGGGGCAAGCGGAGGGATAGCATTGGGAGAAATACTTAATGTAGATGACAGATTGATGGATGCAGCAAACCACCATGTCACGTTTATACCTATGTAACAAACCTGCACGTTCTGCACATGTATCCCAGAACTTAAAGTATAATAACAAAAACTTGGGCATATATATATATATATATATATATGGCTAAAAGAAAAAATGGGTAAACTAAAGGAAAAATAGATCTAATGTATTAAGAACTTAACAAAAAAGGGAAACAGAATGGTTGATAAATAAATAAAAAGTTTTTTCATCTTATTAGTAATCAAAGAAATGACAATGAAAATGTCAGATAAAATTCTTTTTTTTTTTTTTTTTGTCTCTGATCAGCAGTTTCTTTCTAGCAGTGAGGCTAGTTTGGTTTTCTCTTTTCTCTTCATGGGTGCTTTAATTACATTTGCTTGAATGCTCATGGAATTCTCTGCCTTCAACATCTAGCCTCTTGTCAGTCTGTCTCAATGTTTCTCTCTGACTTTTATGAAATACGGTAGCCCCTTCCATGATATAAATTCTTGTAATTTATAAGATATGTTTTGCAAGACTTCCTTTGTGATAATATTTTATATTTTTACATTTTTATCTGATACTTTTATTTAGTTCTCATTTGGGGGGATATAAATACAAATTTTTTTATAAACTTTACATATGTTATGTTGTGATAATTTTCTTTCTTTCTCTCTTCTGCTTTTGTTTATCTTGCTTTCACTTATTCCTATCTTTCATGTAGCTTATTGTCTATTCAACTGTGTCTGTTCTCCTTTGGACTGTTTCCAACGTTTTCTATAATTCTTAGACAGTATTACCTTCAACTCCTTTCTATGGGCCCTGCCAGAGATGTTTTGTCTCTTTCTGTATTTTCCCAGAGTTGTGGCATTTCAACTTGGAGTCAATTTATTTTGGCTGATTTTTGAAATTCTTTGAGTTTTTGTAATGTTTGGAAATGAATTTTATTTGCTCAATAGTGTCTCTTTTTTCTATCAAATGTCCATTTATAGCTTTTAAAAACTAATTCATTTCTTTTTTGTATATGTGTATCTTTTTATAGATTTCATACTCCTTTCTACTTTGAAAATGCTTATGTTGGGAAAGGTCATGCTAATGTTCTTTTCAGAAGACATTCTTTCTGACTCAGAAAATGTATGAAAATATGTTTTTGTTTGGGTTTTTTTCTATGAATGTCCTTGTACTAGGGTATGTGCTTGTTTTCATTTTTGTGTCAGAGTTATTTTAGCTTTTATCTTTCCACAGCCAATAGAGATTCCCAGCTTTAGGGATGCTAGCTGTGTAGAGTGAATCTCCACCCCACTGTTTGATTTCTCGTTCAGTTGAAGCACAACCACTACTCTATGGTATCACAGTGCATCCCAGAATCTCTTATTATAAGACTAATGCAACTTTCTCTGCATGCTCAAACAAGAAAATTACAGTTTCCTTTACAGAATGAGTGTCTCTTTTATAGAATAAAATCTGCTATATTTGCCACAAATCAAATTCAAGCATCTTTCAGTATCTCAATTTAACATTTTGGGCATTTACTAAATGCAGGCATTTAGGGTATTCCTTCATACACTGTTGTTCCAATATTTTACCTCAAAATAACATGTGCTTTCCTTTTAATATAATTATTCATGATTTCTGAAATAAGAATAAAAACACTGTCTTTTTCTGCTATTTTAAAGCCTTGTGTATCATCTATCATTATAATAATAGGAATATTTTTTCCTGTGTATTCAGATGATTTTCAATAGGCAAAAGGTTTTAAAATTTAAAATCAAAAATTGCTCATTTGTTTTACTGTAGTTTATACAAAGTTTCCATAGAACAGTATAACTTGTAGTATCACATTTCCTGTGTATTTTAAACAACGACAAAATATGTTTTTATTTTTTAAAAATTAACAAAATGGTGCTTGCTGTTGTTTGGCTGTGTCCCTACCCAAATCTCATCTTGAATTGTAACTCCCACAATTCCCATGACACATGGGAGAAACCTGGTGGAGGGTGATTGAATTATGGGGGTGGGTCTTTCTTGTGCTTTTCTTGTGATAGTGGATGAGTCCCACAAGATCTGATGGTTTTAAACATGAAAGTATCCCTGCATGAAAGTACCTGTGTTCTTTATTAAAGCTCTCTCTTTGCATGCTGCCATCCATGTAAGACATGACTTGCTCCTCTTTGCCTTCCACCATGATTGTCAGGCATCCCCAGCCATGTGAAACTCTGAATTCCTTAATCCTCTTTCTTTTGTAAATTGTCCAGTTTCAGGTATGTCTTTGTTAGCAGCATTAAAACGAACTAATACAATGCTCTACAGGACAAAGGGCAAAGGTGGTAAAATGGCTGTGATAGGACCTGTTAATCTCTGTCTTATAAAACCACCACACAACAAAGATTGAAAACAAAATATAACTTCATGTCTTCTTGCATTATCTGGGAAGGGTAATAAATTATATAAAAGTAGAAATCTCAGCAGTTTTGCAATTTTTCATGATCAGGGAGAGTGTATCAATAGAGTTTTGTCACCAGGAGGGACTACACTGTTTGGGAAGATGGATGTAATCAGTATCATGCACTGTAATCAATCCAACAGTCAATACAGATTAAATATTGACAGAAATTCCTCTACTACTGCTAAACTGAACAATCCCTAGGAGGTCCAGGAAAAATTATCATTATACAGTAAAATTTGTGTGATAATTCTGATACACTGGTGTTACTTATTATATCTTATGAGGCTCTGAAGATAGGTTTTCAAGTGGAACATTTTGGTTTTAAAAAAGCCTAAGGTGAATGGGTGAAAACTTATATTGGATTTAGTAGCAGCATTAAACAGAGCTCCTTAATAAGCTGATTCATAGACTATTAACATATCTTACATCAAGAAACATTACAGTAGATTGTGTATATCTAGAAAACAGAATCTTTCTTGGCTTTTGACTTAGGATTCTTGTGAATAGTTTGGATCATCCACATTTTAATTTATTTTTAAAAAAAGAGGGAAAGGAAGAATGAGAGAGAGAGACATCTAGCTCTTGAGGACTTAGGACAGTGTTTGAGATTTTGTAACAGTCATTGGATTTTCATGATTATAAAAACATTTAGATTGAGTTTTACTTCATCAGAACAAATGGACATGTGATTGTAGCTCTTTCAGTAAATATATATATACATATATATATATATTCAGTAAATATATGTAACTTTTCAGAATACACACACACACATATATATATACATATATATGGTTTTATATATATATATATATATATATATATATATATATATATATATCTCAAACCATAGCCAAAAAATATATTTGGGGAATAGATAAATACCCTAATTCAATCCCCTTCACACTATCTTTAATCAGAATTTCACTTTACCTCTGTAGACATACAAATTAAATTAAATTTTAAAACCCTGTACAAATTAAAACCAGATTTAATATTAAGTCCCTTGTTCTCTGAAATTTGGACAAAATGGAGAAACTAATAGTAGCATTTAATGAGTTAGTAAATATGCATTATCCATTACTGCAAGCTAATTAATTCCATGACAGAGTCAGATCCTTGATGATTTTGTTCACTACTATTTTCTTGGAATTTCAGAATCATACCTGAGACTTAAAAGATGATACATTTTATTGGCTCAATGAATAATAGTAACAGACTTTAAAAATAATATGCAAGCATTAATTTAATTAATAAATATAGAAATCATTTAAAAAACAAAAACAAAAAAGCAAGTCATTATTCTTAGTGTTATGGTAAATCTAGAACTTCTTTGTTCTGAGTATATGTTGGAAATTATAATATGAGTAAATATATAAGACCTGTAACACACAGTTTTAGCGTCTACGGGAATGTGTACCCATAATGGACATGCTTGATAATTTTTACATGTTAAACCAGCAAATGCTTATCCCACACAATCATATGTCTTTTGTATGTTGCCTTATTCTAAAGAGCTTAAAATTCAGGATGTGTGGTTTCCAGGTTGGTGCTCTATAAGCGTACCACTTACATTCTCTGTGGAAGTTTCTGGCGCCTGAAGAAGAATGTCAATGCCTTCCCACATGGAACTGGAGCCACAGAAATTTCTCAGGCAGATTTATGGTGAAGGTGTGCCCTCTAGGTTCTTCCTTTTTTCTTCATATGGAGGAAAACAAATGCTTCTCTCCTTTGGATAAGTTCAAGCTGAGGGTGCAGAGGCTGCTACATCAGCAGTTCAAATACAGCTAGGGAATGCCATTTTGTGTAAATCTAGTCTGATTTCCTGTGCTCCTTATCAGGAAAGGCTGTGCCTACCTATATACAGTGGAGAGAGGACTTCAACTGCATGTACAGTTTTGTTAAACAATGCAGAAAAAAATGGTGTAAATGCAAATACAATGAGTCTATAGCATAAAACATCCAACAAATTTACATATCCATAAAGTGTACTGGTGCCTATATTACTGAGCTGATTAATTGCTTACTAAAACTGAGGAAAGAAGCGTTACACATTTATATGAGTTTTATTATTATTATTTTTCTGAAGGGAGAAAGGGGAGAAAGCCCATCTCTCTCCTCACCTAATTTGTCTACAGTTATTCCTAATTTCTCTAGAGGAATTTTCAGAGAATCTTTAAATTCCCAGACCCCTTTATCAAGCTCAATCTATTATTTGTTATTGAAGGAAATATGCATTTTATTTCCTGCTCAAAAAAGACACTTTCATACTTTTTTTTTTCTCCAAAAGGAGATATCACTAGTCTGTTCCCTAGAGAATAAGATGTTTTACCCTCATAGTATGCAGTGAATGGATTGTATCTAATAATAACATCAGCTGGGTTTTATTGCTCACAAAAACGACAGGTCCCCCTGGAATTAAGTTGACCTGAGAATTCAGAAATGGCAGAGCTTTAGGGTCCTTTATTTCACTGGATTGAGTTTTAGATGTCACCCTTTCTACCAGGCATAATATATTTGAATTTTTATTTGTGACTCCTTTCCAAACAGACAATATATTCAGTGTCTCATCAGTTATCACATACATCTGCTGCTCATGTTCCATTTCTCCCTGTGGTGACTAGTAAACATGATTTCAGCATAGAGAGATTTCTGTAAATAGAGTTATTCCTATTTTGTGTCTCAACTTATTCTTACCAATCTCTCCCACTCCAGACTTCCTTATTATTTTTTCATTGTTAATACTAGACGCCATAAAATATTGTAAGTTAGAACTTTTTAAATGATACTTATTGGAAAATGTTCTCATATATAAAAGCTCTATGAATCTAAAATTTGAATATTTAAATAGGATATTTTATCAAATTCAACATCAAACCGACAACATCCTCTGCAACAACAATTTGCCAAATGGAGAAATGTCAAACTCTGAATGAGCATTATCCTTCATGCTGAGAGGTGAAATTAATGAATTAATTAAAAACCCATAAAAAGAAAATGAAGAGTGTCAGAAGGCACCAACAAGATGGAAAACAAAATATTTCGGCACGGTAATGTGATTGCCCCCCCACAAAAAAATACATTTTGCCATTCTCAAGAAAGAGAATGAAGCTTCATTCACAGAGCTGAAAAATTTTACATGTAGTTAGCTTATTTTCTTTAATGTTCAACAGCCAATCATGTCACAATGGAATATTGTCCCCATGCTTTGTCAAGATAAAAAAGCTAACCAGGCACCACATATAATACATTTCTTAAAAAATGGATAATTTGGGCATATTTTCTATGACGCATCCAATGACTTTGTTACATAACAATTTAGTGACACCAGCAGATGAGGAAGCACAAGATGCCTAGGATAGCAAATGTCATTGTAAGTAGTATTTCATTTTTTTGAACTAGAAAATTCTCATAAAAAGCACATTTGTTGGTTTATAGCATTTCCCCATTTGTTATGCTTAGATATTGTTTCCTCATCTTTTTCAGTGTTAGTGCCTATTAGAAAAATAAGAAATGGGGCCGGGAGCCATGGCTTATGCCTGTAATCCCAGCACTTTGGGAGGCCGAGGTGGGTGGATCACAAGGTCAGGAGATCGAGACCATCCTGACTAACACAGTGAAACCCCGTCTCTACTAAAAATACAAAAAAATTAGCCAGGCGTGGTGGTGGGTGCCTGTAGGCCCAGCTACTCAGGAGGCTGAGGCAGGAGAATGGCGTGAACCCAGGAGGCAGAGCTTGCAGTGAGCAGAGATCGCGCCACTGCACTCCAGCCTGGGCAACAGAGCGAGACTCCATCTCAACCAAAAAAAAAAAAAAAAGGAGAGAAAAATAAGAAATGAATATAAGGAATAACCAGATTTATGTGTTGCGATTCTTTAGAGACAGAAGATAACACTATTAAGAAAACTTTCAACTGAACAATCCCCCCCAAAATGTAATACTTTTGAATATTTGATTTGTTCAAAATTCAGACTTATTCTGTCATGAACATGATATATAATGAGAAGAAACCTCTTTTATAATAAAGGACTCTTGTTTGTCTATGGTGTCTGATACGGTTTGGCTGTATCCCCACCCAGACCTCATCTTGAATTGCAGCTCCCATAATTCCCACATGTTGTGGGAGGGAGTCGGTGGGAGATAATTAAATCATGGGGGCGGTTTCCCCCATACTATTCTCATGGTAGTGAATAAGCCTCATGACATCTGATGGTTTTATAAGGGGAAACTCCTTTCAATTGGCTCTCATGTTCTTCTGTCTGCTGCCAAGTAAGATGTGACCTTTCGCCTTCCACCTTGATTGTGAGGCATCTCCAGCCACCTGGAACTGTGAGTCCATTAAACCTCTTTTTCTTTATAAATTACCCAGTCTTGGGTATGTCTTTATCAGCAGCATAAAAATGGACAAATACTGTGTCCTCATGTAAATCTGAAGGAAGAATAGTAGTTCCCTGGCCTTTCAAACTGAAAACAAAGGAGAAAAAGTAATAGGAATCCTTTTATCCCAATTACACTCTTACATGCATTTGCCTTTTGCCAATCTTCTCTAGTTTACACCCTATTGAGACCAATTACTGCTTTCCACTGATAGGTCGCACAAACCACATCTATACCATGGAACACTTTTGTTTCCCTTATTTTAGGTTTAAATATTATTTTTGAGTCCATACTTGCAGCTTAATAAGTACAAAAAAGAGGGAATTATTAGATGCTGCAGGTGGCCAACATTTTAGGAGGGAATGTTGAAACACTAATGCCCACTAATTGCAATTATGACTATTAGACAAAGAAGTAGCAGTTGTTACCAAGGATATAAATCTCCATTCTGTTCCACTGTGGAATAGGAAATTATTGTTCTTTTCTATAGCAGTGATGTGACTCAATCTGGGAAATAATACACAGTATACTAGATTTGAACTTTCTGTTAACGATAAATGAAACAACCTCTTCTGCATCTACTGCCTTGGCAGATTTACTCATCTTTAAAAAAAAAACCTAATGAAAAATTATTCTTATTTATTCTTTTTACACATACATGCACACATACAGACACACACACATGCTTAGTTGACAGGTATGAGGATAGAGCACCAAAATGTTCTTTGTTGTTTTGTTGAAGCATGGTTGTACTGAGGTATTTGAGCAAGGCCTAACTCAGCATCTGTTGCAAAATGAAGAACTCCAGCCATCTCTTGAGAAACAAGGCATATTGAAGCTCTGAGCAGACAGTAAATAAGAATGCTGAGGACTCCAGTACTTCTGAACTAATGAACCAGCAAAAAATCAGCAGAATAAATGTGTGAAAGTCACTGTATACATATCTTGAGGGACTGAGAATGTTTAAAGCATCATACAGGGAAAAACATTCCAGAAAATCGACATGGTTGGTGATTGATGTACCATACAGATCCCCTTTCAGTAATGAAGGACTTATTCTTCCCTGGTAGCTGACAAGACTGTTCTCCTTGTCAAGGATTCTGCATCCAATGACTGACCATTGCAGGCATGTAAATAACTAATCATGTGACCCCAACATAAGACAGGTAGATCTTTTTTTATAGGGTCAACTGATGCTTCCCATGAAAGAAGTTGCTGCTCAACCCACTGCCTGGTCTAGTCTCCTTCTCATCCTATTTATTCACCCACCTCTTCCCCTCCCCTTCATTCTCCTCTCTTTCCTTCATCTGAAATTGATTTTAAGAGACCTCATAATAAATTTCCTGCATGCTGATCTGCTTATTGGGAAGCCCAGCCTCATACTTCCAGGTAACTGGGGCCTCAAAAAGATGATGCTTCCAGGGCAAGGATTGCTTGCCCTTTTCATATTTTCCTACTACTTGGGGTGACCCTAATTCTGTGACTGTATGTTAAAGACCAAAGGAAGGTGAAGAAAAGGACAGGCATAAATGCTCGTAATTGATCCAGGACAGAGATGCTTGGACTCCCCAGATTTTCTCACATATTTTCAGCTGAGAATTATAACGGTTCTTTTTTTTTCATAGTTAAAAGGATAAGAATTATTCCAGCAATATGTGTCAGTAACTCCTGCTTTCTCAGCCAACTGACAAAAAAATGTACTCTGTAATAAGTTACAACACTTACACAGCAGTCTTACGTGAACAGATCTGTAAACCTGGGTAATATATGAGGTAAAGGGAGTAAATGTCATTTATTGGGTACCTACTGTAAGCCTGAAGCAGTCCTAGGCACCTTACAAATGCCAGCACTGTTCTAACAAGAATACTGTGCAGTTGACATTCTATAATCTTTCTCCAAGTAAAGTAACTATTTACATGTTTGCTCAAGGTCAGGAAATTGGAAAAAGCATTTAAATAACCATCCAATACCTACATCCATGTTCTTCACCTATGTTATACTTCCAAAGACTAAAAGAAAATGGGAAGGTTTTTAAATCATATTACATTTTGAGAATGTATATTTTATAAATTAAAGAGTTTGGTTGAAACAAATCATAGTGTCTATCCCGGGCTAGATTGTGGAAAAAATAAATTACTGTTACCCATTTAATACATTCATGGATTTGCTAAGGAATATTCTGACTTTATTCACTTGTGCTCTCCCCACTGATATTAAGGCTTATTTAGTAAAAGATTTATTGTAGTCAAATCAACCCTGAAAATACATAAAATTTTATGTGCAAAAGTTATTTCTTGCAAAAAGTACTTATGCATAACAAAGGTCATGTCTTGAAATGCAATCTGGACATTTGTATTATTATGAGCCAGAAAATCCTTTGCCCTGATATTCCAAAATGTGAATTGCTTGCTCTTCAAATTACACTTTTACTCATCTCATAGTGCAGTGCTGTAATCTACTGACATTACCAAGTTTCTTGACTACAGTTTTTCACTGAAGATGTGTTTTGTGTAATCAATTTATTTTAATAACTGCCATACATGGAAAAGCATTAAACATTTGATAACTATATTTTTTATTTGAATTTTGTTTAAGATTATATCAAAAAACTAACATTATAATGAAAAGGAACTAAGAGCAGCTTTTCAGTTCACCTTATAATTTATCTAAAATTTCTAAATAACAAATGTAATAATTAAGCCAAATTAAAGGAATGGAGTAATATTGTTTGCATACTTTTAACTAATCACATCAGCTGATTAGGTCAGCTTGTAATTCCCTGGACAGTGAATCAAGATGCCAACTTGACCACTGCCATGTGTCAAAGAGATCGCCTATAGAACCTAACTGGTCACTCAGACTGAGTGAAAGCAAGACATCATGCTTATTATTAGTAATGTGTAATTGATTATGGAGTGGGAAGAAGGGGACAATCTTAGAACTATGATGAGCTTTTGCTTTTCTTAGGGTCTGGAGCTCAGCCAAAGAAGAAACAAATAGGATGACTCATGAGCATTAGATTTTGTCCTTTGCTCCCACCATCCTTCTAGAATCAAAAGTTATGAGTGATGAAAGTGGAAACTTACTTCTTTCTGGCTAATGGACAATGGACAGTAATTGTCTCAGGAAGATGTATTAGAATTATCTCTATGAACCTCTACTTGTATCATTATAAGACAATTAAACTTACACTGGACTGTATAATAGACCTAGAAGTCTATGAATAACTGTAATTGAATACAGTTCATTTTAATCTCAAGTAATTTAAAGCAGAGTTTGTTATTCTGCAGTAAAATTTAGGAGCTTGTTGTTTTTATCTAGCCTATTTATAATTTGAAACAAATCATAGATCAGTATTCTAAAAAGTAAGATTTATTACACAGACATATAAATTTGAATCAATCAACCTATGCACATCTATCAAGCAAGTATTAAGTATAAGACAATACCTAGCTGGGAATATATAAATATATATATATATATATATATATATATATATATACACATACATATATGTATATGCATACACATATGTATGTATATTTTATGACACTGTTTTTATAGATCTTAGAGTTGAGAAAAATATAACATAACAAGTTAATGTTACAGAATTTTATGAGTGCAAAAACAATACCAACTCTACTAACAACAACAAAATGAAAAACCCACACTTAGCAATGAAAAAGTTTCCAATATACATTTATTTTTGTTTATTCACAATAGCATTCCTTTTTTGATAAAAGCCTAAGCAAAACAAAGTCTATGTTGCTCTATAATGTGCTGACAAGAACCAAAATGTTTTAATCATATATATCATTTATTGGTATATTCCACCAATGAACTCTTTGAACATGGAATCTTTGAGCCAGTTTATATTTTATTAATCTTATTATTAAATTTTCTAATTAGGTGTCCAGTTATGATATGTTTTCAATGAGAGATAAGTAACACAATATCTAAAATGGTACACTTGGCATGTATGAATTACAGAATATGCTTCAAAGTTCATATAAAGTAAATAATTTTTCTGAATTTGAAGCTAAATTTAGAACATCTCACTTTACAATAGAAGTCCAGAGAGACACTAAGTCTTGTCCATGGTAGTTTAGCTGGTTGACAACAAAAGTTGTGCTACTGGTCAAGGTCTCTTTACCCAAAAGCCAGCATCCTTTTTGTCTTGCCATCTTTAAATAGAGCTTTACACAGCAAGAGAGTATTTATACACTTCACATTATTACATTTTTACTCAATCTATTATTACATTTGACCATCATAACACTCCCTTGAAGTACTGTGTGGTGTTGTGTTAGGGAAAGAGTTTGATATTAATGAGAGAATGCTGCAGGTATTTTTCTAGGCACTTAATTGTTCAGAAAATTTGCTTGACAAATATACGGCATACAGGTATTTGAGTGTGGTTTCTTTCCCTTAGCATTATGCATTTGTATTGATCCATGTTTTTGTATGTATCAGTAGTTTGTTCTGTTTTATTGTCAAGTGATTTTTCCAGTGTTTGTTAAGAATCTAATAAATACATGCATTACACTTATGTAAAAATGATTAATAACGAATGGCTCAATGCGGCTTTATCAAAAGCACAAAGTAATTAATTAAAATCTCTTTTAAATCACAAAAAAGAAAAAGAATCTACCACATTTTGTTTATTCATTCACCAGTTTGCAGTTTGGGCCAATTATACATAAAACAACTACACATATCCACATATTTGTGTGTGTGAACATAAATTTTTATTTCTTCTAGTTAAAGATCTAGTTGTGCAAATGCTGGATTATGTAGTAAATGCATGTTTGTTTTAGAAGAAATTTACAAACTATTTTTTTCCACTATTTTATATCCTGGTGAGCAGTGTTTAAGAATTCTGATTGTTTTACATACTCATTAGCACATAGTATTCTCATTTTTTTCTTCACTTCTACCATTCTAATTTTTGTTGTAATATCTCATTGTGCTTTTTGTGTTGTTATAAGGAATAATAATATTGAGGATTTTTTATGTGTTTTCATGCCATCTGTATATTTTTTTTTAGTGAACTGCCCCTTCACATCTTTTGCCCATTTTAAATTATTTTTATTCTTATTTTTGAGGATTCTTTATATTTCCTGGATACAAATCTGTTATCATATCCATGTTCAGCAATTAAGTTCTCTGAGTGGATGAGTTTTTCATTTTCTTAATAGTGTCTTTAAAAGAACAAAAATTATATCTTTTAAAATATGTCTGTCTTGATAACGAATTGGATTTGATGTTCTTCCATTGAATTAAGGAGGGAGGGAACGTAACAGGCCTGGTTTGTCTCTTAAGAACCAACAATAGGAAGAGGTGGAGCCAAGATGGCCGAATAGGAACAGCTCCAGTCTACAGCTCCCAGCATGAGTGATGCAGAAGATGAATGATTTCTGCATTTCCAACTGAGGTACCAGGTGCATCTCACTGGGGACTGTCGGAAGTGGGTGCAGAACAGTGGGTGCAGTGCACCCAGCCTGAGCTGAAGCAGGGTGAGGCATTGCCTCACCCAGGAAGCACAAGGGGTCGGGGAATTCCCTTTCCTAGCCAAGGAAAGGGGTGACAGATGGCACCTGGATAATTGGGTCACTCCCACACTAATACTGCGCTTTTCCAACAGTCTTAGCAAACGGCACACCAGAAGATTATATCCCGTGCCTGGCTCAGAGGATCCTACGCCCACAGAGCCTCACTCAGTGCTAGCACAGCAGTCTGAGATCAAACTGCAAGGCAGCAACCAGGCTGGAGACAGGCGCCCGCCATTGCCAGGGTGTGAGTAGGTAAACAAAGTGGCTGGGAAGCTCGAACTGGGTGGAGCCCACCACAGCTGAAGGAGGCCTGCCTGCCTCTGTAGACTCCACCTCTAGGGGCAGGGCATAGCCAAACAAAAGGCAGCAGAAACGTCTGCAGACTTAAATGTCCCTGTCTGACAGCTTTGAAGAGAGTAGTGGTTCTCCCAGCATGCAGCTTGAGATCTGAGAATGGACAGACTGCCTCCTCAAGTAACCTAACTGGGAGGCACCCCCAAGTAGGGGCAGACTGACACCTCACATGGCCGGGTACTCCTCTGAGACAAAACTTCCAGAGGAACGATCAGGCAGCAACACTTGCTGTTCACCAATATCTGCTGTTCTGCAGCCTCCACTGCTGATATCCAGGCAAACAGGGTAGGAGAGGACCTCCGGAAAACTCCAACAGACCTGCAGCTGTTCCCTTCTAACCCTGACTGTTAGAAGGAAAACTAACAAACAGAAGGGACATTGACACAAAAACCCCATCTGTACGTCACCATCATCAAAGACCAAAGGTAGATAAAAAACACAAAGAAGATGGGGAAAAAACAGAGCAGAAACACTGAAAAATCTAAAAATCAGAGTGCCTCTCCTCCTCCAAAGGAACACAGCTCCTCACCAGCAACTGAACAAAGCTGGAGGGAGAATGACTTTGACAAGTTGAGAGAAGAAGGCTTCAGACGATCAAACTACTCCGACCTAAAGGAGGAAGTTCCAACCCACGGCAAAGAAGTTAAAAACCTTGAAAAAAGATTAGATGAATGGCTAGCTAGAATAACCAATGCAGAGAAGTCCTTAAAGGCCTGATGGAGCTGAAAACCATGGCATGAGAACTACGTGATGAATGCACAAACCTCAGTAGCTGATTCGATCAATGGGAAGAAAGGGTATAAGTGATGGAAGTTCAAATAAATGAAATGAAGGGAGAAGAGAAGATTAGAGAAGAAAGAATAACAAGAAACAAACAAAGCCTCCAAGAAACAGGGGACTATGTGAAAGGACCAAATCTACATCTAATTGGTGTACCTGAAAGTGACGGGGAGAATGGGACCAAGTTGAAAAACACTCTGCAGGATATTATCAAGGAGAACTTCCCCAATCTAGCAAGGCAGGCCAACATTCAAATTCAGGAAATACAGAGAACGCCACAAGGATACTCCTCAAGAAGAGCAACTCCAAGACACATAACTGTCAGATTCACCAAAGTTGAAATGACAGAAAAAATGTTAAGGACGGCCAGAGAGAAAGGTCAGGTTACCCACAAAGGGAAGCCCATCAGACTAACAGCTGATCTCTCAGCAGAAACCATACAAGCCAGAAGAGAGTGGGGGCCAATATTCAACGTTCTTAAAGAAAATAATTTTCAACCCAGAATTTCCTATCCAGCCAAACTAAGCTTCATAAGTGAAGGAGAAATAAAATACTTTACAGACAAGCAAATGCTGAGAGATTTTGTCACCACCAGGCCTGCCCTACAAGAGCTCCTGAAGGAAGCACTAAACATGGAAAGGAACAACCAGTACCAGCCACTGCAAAAACATGCCAGATTGTAAAGACCATCACGGCTAGGAAGAAACCGCATCAACTAACGAGCAAAATAACTAGCTAACATCATAATGACAGGATCAAATTCACACATAACAATATTATCCTTAAATGTAGATGGGATAAATGCTCCAATTAAAAGACACAGACTGGCAAATTGGATAAAGAGTCAAGACCCATCAGTGTGCTGTATTCAGGAAACCCATCTCATGTACACAGACACACACAGGCTCAAAATAAAGGGATGGAGGAAGATCTACCAAGCAAATGGAAAACAAAAAAGGCAGGGGTTGCAATCCTAGTCTCTGATAAAACAGACTTTAAACCAACAAAGATCAAAAGAGACAAGGCCATTACATAATGGTAAAGGGGTCAATTCAACAAGAAGAGCTGACTATCCTAAATATATATGCACCCAATGCAGGAGCACCCAGATTCATAAAGCAAGTCCTTAGAGACCTACAAAGAGAATTAGACTCCCACACAATAATAATGGGAGACTTTAACACCCCACTGTCAACATTAGACAGATCAATGAGACAGAAAGTTAACAAGGATATCCAGGAATTGAACTCAGCTCTGCACCAAGCAGACCTAATAGACACCTACACAACTCTCCACCCCAAATCAACAGAATATACATTCTTTTCAGAACCACACCACACCTATTCCAAAATTGACCACATAGTTGGAAGTAAAGCCCTCCTCAGCAAATGTAAAAGAACAGATATTATAACAAACTGTCTCTCAGACCACTGTGCAATGAAACTAGAACTGAGGATTAAGAAACTCACTCAAAACTGATCAACTACATGGAAACTGAACAACCTGCTCCTGAATGACTACTGGGTACATAATGAAATGAAGGCAGAAATAAAGATGTTCTTTGAAACCAACGAGACCAAAGACACAACATACCAGAATCTCTGGGTCACATTCAAAGCAGTGTGTAGAGGGAAGTTTATAGCACGAAATGCCCACAAGAGAAAGCAGGAAAGATATAAAACTGACACCCTAACATCACAGTGAAAAGAACTAGAGAAGCAAGAGCAAACACATTCAAAAGCTAGCAGAAGGCAAGAAATAACTAAGATTAGAGCAGAACTGAAGGACGTAGAGACACAAAAAACCCTTCAAAAATCAATGAATCCAAGAGCTGGTTTTTTGAACAGATCAACAAAATTGATAGACTGCTAGCAAGACTAATAAAGAAGAAAAGAGAGAAGAATCAAGTATACGCAATAAAAAATGATGAAGGGTATATCACCACCGATGCCACAGAAATACAAACTACCATCAGAGAATACTATAAACCCCTCTATGCGAATAAACTAGAAAATCTGGAAGAAATGGATAAATTCCTCAACACATACACTCTCCCAAGAGTAAACCACGAAGAAGCTGAATCTCTGAATAGACCAATAACAGGCTCTGAAATTAAGGCAATAATTAATAGCTTACCAACCAAAAAAAGTCCAGGACCAGATGGATTCACAGCCGAATTCTACCAGAGGTACAAGGAGGAGCTGGTACCATTCCATCTGAAACTATTTCAATCAATAGGAAAAGAGGGAGTCCTCCCTAACTCATTTTATGAGGCCAGCATCATCCTGATACCAAAGTCTGGCAGAGACACAATTAAAAAAAGAGTATTTTAGACTAATAACCCTGATGAACATTGATGCAAAAATCCTCAATAAAATACTGGCAAAGTGAATCCAGCGACACACCTAAAAGCTTATCCTCCATGATCAAGTGGGTTTCATCCCTGGGATGCAAGGCTGCTTCAACATATGCAAATCAATAAATGTAATCCAGCATATAAACAGAACCAATGACAAAAACCACATGATTATCTCGATTGATGCAGAAAAGGCCTTTGACAAAATTCAACAGCACTTCATGCTAAAAACTCTCAATAAATTAGGTATTGATGGGAGGTATCTCAAAATAATAAGAGCTATTTATGACAAACCCACAGCCAATATCATACTGAATAGGCAAAAAACTGGAAGCATTTCCTTTGAAAACTGGCACAAGACAGGGATGCCCTCTCTCACCACTGCTATTCAACATAGTGTTGGAAGTTCTGGCCAGGGCTATCAGGCAGGAGAAAGAAATAAAGGGTATTCAATAGGAAAAGAGGAAGTCAAATTGTCCCTGTTTGCAGATGATGTGATTGTATATCTAGAAAACCCCATCATCTCAGCCCAAAATCTCCTTAAGCTGATAAGCAACTTCAGCAAAGTCTCAGGATACAAAATCAATGTGCAAAAATCACAAGCATTCTTATACACCAATAACAGACAAACAGAGAGCCAAATAATGAGTGAACTCCCACTCAAAATTGCTTCAAAGAGAATAAAATACCTAGGAATCCAACTTACAAGGGATGTGAAGCACCTCTTCAAGGAGAAATAAAACCACTGCTCAATGAAATAAAAGAGGATACAAACAAACGGAAGAACATTCCATGCTCATGGGTAGGAAGAATCAATATCCTCAAAATGGCCATACTGCCCAAGGTAATTTATAGATTCAATGCCATCCCCATCAAGCTACCAATGACTTTTTTCACAGAATAAGAAAAAACTACTTTAAAGTTCATATGGAACCAAAATAGAGCTCACATTGCCAAGTCAATCCTAAGTGAAAAGAACAAAGCTGGAGACATCACGCTACCTGACTTCAAGCTAGACTACAAGGCTACAGTAACCAAAACAGCATGGTACTGGTACCAAAACAGAGATATAGACCAATGGAAGAGAACAGAGCCCTCAAAAATAATGCCACATAACTACAACTATCTGATCTTTGACAAACCTGAGAAAAACAAGAAATGGGGAAAGGATTCCCTATTTAATAAATGGTGCTGGGAAAACTGGCTAGCCATATGTAGAAAGCTGAAACTGGGTCCCTTCCTTACACCTTATACAAAAATTAATTCAAGATGGATTAAAGACTTAAACATTAGACCTAAAACCATAAAAACCCTAGAAGAAAACCTAGGCAATACCATTCAGGACATAGGCATGGGCAAGGACTTCATGTCTAAAACACCAAAAGCAATGGCAACAAAAGCCAAAATTGACAAATGGGATCTAATTAAACTAAAGAGCTTCTGTACAGCAAAAGAAACTACCATCAGAGTGAACAGGCAACCTACAGAATGGGAGAAAATTTTTGCAATCTACTCATCTGACAAAGGGCTAACATCCAGAATCTACAATGAACTCAAACAAATTTGCAAGAAAAAAGAAACCCATCAACAAGTGGGCAAAGGATATGAACAGACACTTCTCAAAAGAAGACATTTATGCAGCCAAAAGACACATGAAAAAATGCTCATCATCACTGGCCATCAGAGAAATGCAAATCAAAACCACAATGAGATACCCTCTCACACCAGTTAGAATGGTGATCATTAAAAAGTCAGGAAACAACAGGTGCTGGAGAGGATGTGGAGAAATAGGAACACTTTTACACTGTTGGTGGGACTGTAAATTAGTTCAACCATTGTGGAAGTCAGTGTGGTGCTTCCTTAGGGATCTAGAACTAGAAATACCATTTGACCCAGCCACACCATTACTGGCTATATACCCAAAGGACTATAAATCATACTGCTATAGAGACACATGCACATGTATGTTTATTGCGACACTATTCACAATAGCAAAGACTTGGAACCAACCCAAATGTCCAACAACGATAGACTGGATTAAGAAAATGTGGCACATATACACCATGGAATATTATGCAGCCATAAAAAATGATGAGTTCATGTCCTTTGTAGGGACATGGATGAAGCTGGAAACCATCATTCTCAGCAAACTATCGCAAGGACTAAAAACCAAACACTGCATGTTCTCACTCATAGGTGGGAATCGAACAATGAGAACACATGCACACAGGAAGGGGACCATCCCACACTGGGGCCTTTTGTGGGGTGTGGGGAGCGGAGAGGGATAGCATTAGGAGATATACCTAATGTTAAATGATGAGTTAATGGGTGCAGCACACCAACATGGCACATGTATACATATGTAACAAACCTGCACGTTGTGCACATGTACCTTTGAACTTAAAGTATAATAAAAAATAAAAAAAATAAAAAAATAAAATCAGAAATGAAAAAAAAAAAGAACCAATAATATTTTCCACCCAGAATGGAAAAAAGTTTTTACTTGTGCTATTTATGATACATGTGTTGCGGTTTAGGATATTGGGAAGTTTGGGGCTGGGTCCAGTCTCGGGAGAAAATAATTCTGTTTGATTACCACATTCAGTTAAAAAACTGGAAGGGAACAATACCACCAAGTTGATGGCATTGTCTTAATGCTTAAGTTTATTTCTTCATCACCAAAAGATCTATTGGATTATCATTAATTTATCTGATTTGTACACTCTATTTAGCATAGTGATTCAGTGTTCCAATTATAATTGTTTTGCACATATAAAATTAAGCCAAATATATAATGATTACATTATATCTTTAAAAGTATTCACTTTTCCTCCAAAGCTACTCTGATTTGACCAATAATGTTCTATTTATAAATGTATTTTTATTATATGCGTGTATATAGACATACATATATATACACATAGATATATATATACAGATATATGTGTGTATATAGACATAGATATATATACATAGATATATATACACAGATATATAAGCAGTTCATTTTTATAACTCTTTGAAGTGCATATTAGTCAGCTGCTTTCACAATAATTCCAGGTAACAAATCATCCCCAAATGTAATGAGTTATTACAATAAGCCTGGCTTTTCATGCATGTGAGTTTTCAGGTCATTAAGCGAGGCCAACTCAGCTGGTCTGGTCTGCTTTAGGTTGGTGAGGCTAGACTAGAGTTTGGGATCAGGTTTGCTGTACGTGCCCCTCATGATTCTAGGATTGATACTTTTCCTAGCATATTCTTCCAGTAATTACAGAGTACAATAGAGCAAACAGAAGCATGCAATGATATTTTAGGTTGTGGCCTGGAACTGGCACCTTATCTTTCTTTCATGCCCGAATTACACTGGCCAAAGAAAGTGATGCAGTCTAGTTCAATATTAACTTGAAGGGAATATACTGCTTTCACTATTATGAAGGAACATAATAATTCACATAGCACAGGCACAGAGTTTAATTCTAACATGTGGGGAGACTAAAGAATTGAGAAAAATGATTGAGAAAATTGAGATATAAAAAGACTAAATAACTCACATGCAAAGTCTTACTCATGGCTGTGTCTGCCCATACCAACTGCTTCTTAACCAAAGGAAAGGATCATTAAAGTGATAGTTTATGCATTTTTAAAGTTCTGGGTGCATAGTATGTATATAATTAATATATAATACAATGTAATATATATAAAATTACACACACAAATTTAAAAATATATATATAATGTGTGTGTGTGTGTGTGTGTGTGTGTGTGCAGTCAGCTGTTTGGGGAAATAATGGTGGCAGTGCTAGTAAATGACAGTAATGAAGAAATGAAAGATGTAGCTGGTGAACTGTATGGTCTTGAATAAGATGTCTGGACCTTCTCTTTCTTCACTCAGCAACATCTTACATATTGGAAGGAAATGAAAACAATACTTACAGAAATGTTCTCAAGACTTTGGAGAGTAAATTTTAGAATAAAATCTTAGGGATAAATATGTTCCAGAATTTCAAAACAGGAAAAATTTAGTTAGATTTTTTAAAATAAATATATTTGTTGTCCTGAATAGATGTAACCTAAATTAAACCTCAGGATAGCATGTTTTGTATATAGTGAGCATTTGGCAAATTATTTTCTCCCATTCTATAAACTTTTGGAAAAAATAAATGCTGAGTGCGTAATTAATGAGTTTTATACAGGCTTGTAAAATCTGCTGCACTGCCCTGCTCAGGGACTGGTTTATGGAACAAGGCTCTTTTGAGGCCTACCTATTATTCTGTTTCTCCATTTCACGTTTCTCCTTCATCTTTCTACACTTTGAGGTTTTTATCTTACTCTATGCTCTCACTTTTCATTTCTTGTCCCGTTTTTTGTTTATGTATACTATTTATGAGTTTCTTTCTCTGACCTACTACATTATTAGCTATTCAAGGACACAACGTATATCTTAGTGTCTTATTCATTTATATTTCCTCAGACCTGGTAAGTTTAAAGGAACTCCTGGAAGTAAGCAAGTTATCTAAAAACCACAGTGTAATAATAGCACTCCTTTACCTAATTTTTAATAATGTTCAGATGCATATTCCCCTACTTTAAAGATGTTTTCTTACAGTATAGTGAGGGGGCACCCCACAAATTAGTGACACTGTCAGTGGTCCAAAGCATCTTGAAGAAACCAAGAATCTGTCGAAACACTTGGGTTGTTTCACCAAACTCTAAACTGTTTCTAAACTGTTTCTAAACAGTTTAGAGTCTTAATTTTCAAAAAACTAACTCTTAGCCAAAGTGTTTTTATAATTTATAATTCTTTGCAAATTAAAACTGAGGAAAACATATTCCAGTTAAAAAAAACAAACACAAACTTCCAGCCCAGACAAGATGGCATAGGCTTATCTCTACCTGTTCCTTTCCACTAATGATGATGATATGGTTTGGATCTCTGTTCCCACTCAAATCACATGTTGAAATGTAATCTGCAATGTTGGAGGAGCAGCCTGGGGGTAGGTGATTGGATCGTGAGGGCTGTTTCTGATGGTTTAGCACCATCACCCTAGTGCTGTCTTGTGATAGAGTTCTCACGTGATCTGGTTGTTTAAAAGTGTGTGGCACCTCCGTACTCTCTCTCAGTCCTGCTCCTGCTTTGCCTGCCATCATGAGTAAAAGTTCCCTGAGGCCTCCCCAGAAGCAGATGCTGCCTTGCTTCCTGTACAGCCTGTGGAACTGTGAACAAATTAAACCTCTTTTCTTGTAAATTACTCTGTCTCAGGTATTTGTTTATAGCAATGCAAGAATGGACTAACATAGATGACTATAAATCCTGTAAATGTTCAAGTGGCCCACAGAGGAGAGTTCTGAAGATGGAATAAAGGAAGCTGAGGATTGAGGTTAGGGATGAAGAACTGAAGGCACAGCATAATAACAGGGCACCTTACTATCCTCTTCCTTAACAGAAGGTGTGAATCCAGACCGTAAACCTCCTGGCCCCCAAATTAACAACAGAAGTGGGAGTAGGTAGACACACTCTTCAATCTAACAGTGGCTCTGCCCATAAAATGCCAGCCTGGCAAAACAGGCAAGAGGGGATCATGGGAACTCCTGCTGAAGATAAGCACCCAGGGAAAATCTAAACTTCTGCCATGGAGCCTGAGGCTTCACACCTAACCTAAGACACTACGTGACTGGGAGCACAGGTGACAGGGATCTCCCCACATCAAGCGAGCATCAGGGAAAGAGCTCTCCATTCCCCACAGGAAGGAGAATCTGCCACAAGTTATCAAAACAGGAGGTACTCTTCCTCTCAACGGGACACCCCTTCCCAACAAAACGCAGCTTTCAGCCAGTGACTAGTGGAAGTTGGTGAAGCTCTCTGTATTAATTTGTCCTCACACTGCAATAAAGAACTAGCTGAGACTGGTTAATTTATGGAGAAAATTGGTTTATTTGACTCACAGTTCCACAGGCTCTAAAGAGACAAGGTTGGGGAGGTCTCAGGAAACATACAATCATAGTGGAAAGCTAAAGGGAAACAGGCACAATCTTCACAGGGAAGAGAAGGAGAGAGAGAGAGAGAGAGCAAAAGGGGAAGTGCTAAACACTTAACCAGATCTCCTGAGAACTCACTCACTATCATGAGAACAACAAAAGGAAAATCCAACCCCATGGTCCAATCACCTTCCACCAGGTCCTTCCCCCAACATTGGGGATTGGAATATAACATAAAATTCGGGTGGGGACACAGAGCCAAACCATATCACTGTCTCACTCCTTGGAAGAAAAATTTGGAGGCACGTGTTTTCCACTGGCTCACAGAATTCCTCAGAAGGCATAAGCATCAGTTTCCCACAGGTAACATGCTTGATAATACACTCCTTACTGGCTGTCTTTCTTCTCCTTTCTTACCTCCCCACAACCTTACTGATATTTCCTAAAAAAGCTTTCTACCTCTTAATCAGATCATTATTTTAGAAATTTATTGAATAACTTTGTCTACACATTACCAATTTCTTCAAGGGGCCCTTCTTATAGCTTAGATGTTTCCTTTAAAATATTCCCTCTTTTCCCAATGTACATCCTATAGTAGTTTTTATTGTCGTTGTTGTTGTTGTTGTTTTTAATGAGAGTCTGGTGATGGTAAACAATGCCCTTGTTTGGGCAGGATTTTTGGGTTGCATTAAATTTTAAAGTTTGTATTGTTAACATCATTTTTACATGACCAATCATAATTATACTCATTTTGAGGGGTACATGTGGTGCTTTGATATATGAATACAATGCAGAATGACTAAATCAAACTAGTTAACATATCTATCACCTCAATTATCATTTTTTGCAGTGAGACATTTGAAATTTACTCTTTATTTTGAAATATAGAATATATTCTTATTGACTACAGTCACCCTTCTGTGCAATAGGTCTCAAAGTTTATTTATTCCTCCTATCTATCTGAAACCTTGTACCCTTTGACTTTCTATTCCATCTCTATATACCTGCCCACCTCACCCCTCAAGCCTCTGGCAACCATCTTTCTAATCTATATTTCTATGAGTTCAACTTTTTTAGAAACCAGTTCCAACAGATGTGAGGTGATATCTAACTGTGGTTTTAATTTGCATTTCCCTAATGATTAGTGATGTTAAGCATTTTTTAACACCACTAACAAGGGATCTGTTAGTCCTTTTTATGTATTGTTTTGAGAAGTGTGTTTAAGTCCTTTGCCCATTTTAAATTGGGTTATTTGTTTTCTTCCTGTTGAGCTCTTTGAGTTCCTTATATATCTTGGATATTAACCACTATCAAATCTACGGTTTGCAAATATATTTCCCATTTTATAAGTCACGTCTTCACTTTGTTAAGGATTTCTTTTGCTGTGCAGAAACGTTATAGTTTGATGCAGTTCCATTTGTCTATTTTTGCTTTTGTTGCCCATGCTTTTGGCATCATATCCAAAACATCATTACTCAGAACAATGTTGCGGAGATTTATCCTCTGTTATATTCTAGTAGTTTTACAATTTTAGGTCTTGTGCTTAAGTCTTTGTTCCATTTTGAGTTGATTTTTATGTTGTAAGATAATCTAATTTCATCCTTCTGTATGTGGATAGCCAGTACCCTAACACCATCATTGATAAGACCACCCTTTCACCATTGTGTGTCCTTGACAAAAATATAAATGTCATTTATATCACTGTCAAAAACATAAGTGTATTGGTTTATTTCTGAAATTTCTGTTATGTTCAATTGGTTGATGTATCTGTTTTTATGTCAATACCATGCTGTTTTTATTCAAATACTTTTATATTTTGAAACCAAAAAGTGTGATACCTCCAGCTTTTTATTTCTCAAATTTGTTCAGGCTATTTGGGGTTATTTGTGGTTTCATACACATTTAAGAATTCTTTTATTCTGCTCCTGTGAAAAATATCATTGGCATTTCAATAGGTATTGCATTGAATCTACAGATTGCTTTTGGTAGTATGGACGTTTTAACAATTTATTTTTTGTCTGTTTTATACATTTTAGTATACAGGTCTTTTACCTCCTGGGTGAAATTTACACTTAAATATTTTATTCTTTTTGATATTATTGTAAATAGGATTGTTTTCTTAATTTCCATTGTTGATAATTTGTTATTAGCGTATTGAAACTGCTGATTTTTGCACTTTGATTTTGTGAACCACAACTTTTCTGAATTTGTTTATCAGTTCTAACAGTTTTAAGGTGGATCGTTCAGGGTTTTCTATATGTAAGATTATGTTATCAAGAAACAGATAATTTTATTTTTTCCCTGTTAGGATTCCTTTTTTTATTGCCCTTACCTAACAGCACTGGCTTTGTACTGTCCCGGATCTTAGAAGAAAAACTTTTCTATTTTTATGTTTGAGTATGATGTTAGCTCTGGGATTGTGATTTATGCCCTTTATTGTTTTGAAGTACATTCCCTCTATATCTAATCTGTTGAGAGTTTTTATCCTAAAACAGTGTTGAATTTTGTCAAATATTTCTTCTGCTTCTATTGAGATAATTGTGTTTTGTTTATTCTTTATTTCTTTATTTTGTCAACGTGGTATATTACATTTCTTGCATATATTGAATCGTCCTTGCATCCAGGGGGTAAATCTCCGTTTATCACGGTGAATGATTCCTTTATGTGTTTTTCAATTTGGTTTGCTGGTATATTGTTGAGGATTTCTGAATCTATGATCATCAGGGATATTGACCAGTAATTTTCTTTTCTTGTAGTGCTCATGTCTGGTTTTGGCATCAGAGTAATACTGGCCTTGGCACAATGAGTTTAGAAGTATTTCCTTTTGGAAGAGTTTGAGAAGGATTGTTATTAGTTCTTTAAATGTTGGTAGACTTCAGCTTTGAAGCCACCAGGTCCTGCGCTTTTGATAGGGGACATGTTATTATTGATTCAGTATTCTTATTTATTATTGATCTGTTCACATTTTCTATTTCTTCATGATTGTTTTGGTAGGTTGTATGTGTCTAAAAATCAATCCATTTTTTCTGGAATATCCAAAGTGCATTGTAGTTTCTTCAGATTCTTTGTATTTTTTGCTTTAAAAAAGTTCTTAAATTTTACCTCTTTCTCATTTCCCTGGATGTATTTTCCTAGTTTTATAATTACCCTTTGCCCCTTGTTATTATAATTATTTAGAAGTCTGTTTCTTGCCAATTAATATTCCTGTGTTTAACAATCATTCTTTTCTGTCTGAGATCTTTCCTCTAACATCTTTTCATTGCTTTTGAGTCCTGCCTTTCATGATGATGTAACCAAGTTTTACATTTTTATCCTGTTTGGGACTCACTGTATTTCTGTGGTCTGAGGATATATGTCTTTCATAAATTCTGGAATATGCTCAGTTATTATCCTTTGTCTATTGCTGTACTCTTTTCTTCTAGAATTGTTATTAGACAACTTATAGGTCTTCCTAATTTATCCTCAGCATTTCTTAACCTCCTCTTCAGTTCTGTCTAATCTTCAGTTTGGCCCACACACTAAGTTTTTAATTTAAATGTTTTGGTTTGATCGTAAAAAGTTATTTTACCAATAGAGGACTGCTATTAAACAGTTACACTTGAAGAATTAATACATTTACACTATTCTTACAATATCACAATTTTAAAAAATTATTTACAAAATATGCTTCCATGCCTGCAGAATGTCGGACACACTGTTTCACTTCTCTTTACCCAATGGCCAATAGAATCAATAGCTTATCATTTTGCTATACAATTAACTAGATTTTGTTAATTTAGGACATATTGGAAAAGAGAAGAAACAGTCAAATGTAATCCCAAATATGATTTTGTGTTTTTATAATTTCGTTGAGCTATAGTTACAGCACATTGAATTTCACTTTTTGAAAGTACAAGTTGGTACTGCTTTGACATATATGTGCTTTTGTGAAACTGATACCACAATCAAAATACAAGTATTTCCATCAGCCTCCAAAAGTTTCCTTTATGCCACATCCTAAACCATCCCTTTTCAACTCCTGACTCCAAGAAACAGGAGTTTCTTGGTGTTAGTTTCTTGATTTAAACAGTTATATTGAGTTGTAGTTCACAAACCCATAAATTTAATATATCCACCAGTTATAAAGCGTATATTTCAAGGATTATTTGGAAAAATTTCGTAAGTTTATGGAGCTGTGCAATAATTACCATAACCTGTATTTAAGAACATATCTGCTACTCTAAAAACATAGCCTCATACCTATTTGTTGTCACTCTCAGCCTCAGAAAATTGCCGATTTGCATTATTCCTATATAGATCTCCCTTTTCTAAAAAAGGGACATTATTTCATTTCAATATAAATGAAATAATACTCTACATTGTACATACTCTACATTGTACATATTCTACATTATTGCTGATTAGTATTTAACTATATAATTATATCATGTTTAGCTTATACTTTCACCAGCTGATGACTATTTCAACACTTCCCTTTTAGGGGCTATTATAATAACACTGATATGAACATTTTGCACAGTCTTTGTGTATACATATGTTTTCATATATCCTAGGTTGTTACCTATCCCGTTGAATTTCTCAGTTGTACAGTAAATGTATGTTTAACATTTTAATAAACTACTAAACTATTCTCCCAAGTACTTGATTTATTTTGTGTTTTCCTCAACAATATATGAGAGTGCCAGTTTCTCCAAATACTCAATGATACTTACTAAATTTATTTAATGGTTATGATAGCTTTTTTGTAAATTCCTTGGAATCATCTATATGAATGGCCAGGTTATATGCAAATAAAAACAATTTGTTCATTATTTTTCTCTATATTATTTATTTAGTCTTATCAAAATGGCTAGAATGTCCAGAGTATGATTAAGTAGGAATGGTGAAAGCAGCCATCCTTAGTTTCCTGATTTCAAGGGTGAAGTATTGAAGTATTCAGTATTTTATCATTAAATAAAACATTACATGTAAGTTTTTTATAAATGACTTTTATTAGGTTTAGGACTTTATTTTTTCTATTTGCTTCACACTGTGAATAATACACTGCTAACTGCCTAGATTTTGTTGTCTTTCTTTTAAAAAAATTAGTTGTTTTGAAGACTGTTAATTGTAGAGCAGCTTGAACCCTTTGAAGTTTGTTTTTAAGCATTGTTAGGGTCTGTCTTGAGTTTATAGGGTTAGTTTAGTTCTACTAAAAGTCATAACCTTCCCAGATCCTATACTGAATGTTCAGGATACAACAAAGTCTACTGCAGCTAATTAGGATTGAATATTTTCTAACATTTTATATTTTTGAGCCATTTTATTTCATAACATTCTCAATTCTTTGCTTTGCCTTGCTGTTTTATATGTGTGCTATTTCACAACAGACTCAAATGGACACCTATGCAGATTTCTAAAGCTTTTATTTTGCAGGACTTCCTCCTCTACATAATCTTCCCTACAAATTCCAGTGTCTCACACTTGATGAACCGTGAAGTCAGTATTCTCAACTCAGCACAACTACTATGTTCTGCTTGTTTTTTCCCCTCTGTGTGGCAGGCTTCTGAAAGTACTTCCAGGCAAAAAGCTAGGATAATAATAGGAATAATCTCTTTCACTTCCATTCCTCACCTGTTGTCCAATATCTGCATATAGCTGTTTCACATAATTTTTAAAAATATTGTAGTTGTTTTCACTGGGAGGACAAAGCCTTCACTAATTAAGTCACGATGAATGAGAGCAAAAGTCCCTTTTGTCTTTTTTATAAAATGTAAAATTTTGCTAAATGATTCCTCTCCCACTTTCTTTCATTAAGTAGTTTTATTTTTCTACTACAATTTTTAAAAGCTCATGACAGAAGTTGGCCATTATCATTGTATAGACTGCCATCTTGAATGAAAAATCTTAATGTAATATTGTGCTAGAGTAATTACAAAAATATCTCCTGAGAAAAAGGCTACTATTTATGTTAATTGCAAAAGAAGTTGGTTAACAAGAAGTATCTGGGAAATTTCTGGATAGTATCTGGAATTATGAAGTGCATTCTCCTCCATAGCTCCTGGTGTAGTCATTTTCAAATAGCAGATAACAATATAGACATAGATACTAACATCCTAGGCATATGATAAACATGACCCCATCCCATATGTGTGTAAAATAAACATTTGTATTTCAACATTAGTCATATCATTGACTAATATTTTACAAATTCATTAGATTCATAGGATGCAAAGAAAATTCAAAGAAGTGGGTGGCCCTCTTAAGCTCAACTTTTGCCTATAAATCCCAGACAAAAAATAGACCTGACTTGGTTTGCTCTGTTTCTCTCATTAAGCCACAGAAAGATTTTATCAATCCATTTGTCAGTTTCTGAATATCACTGCTTATAAGTCACAGGAGAGTTCTATAAATGGAAGTATTCTAACATATTTAAGAGATTAATCCTACAGAATAGAATGTTTTGACAGGACTCTGATCTCGCGCAGGCAAAGCTCCAGAGACATTTTCTTTCAAAGTGGCAAACCATTATCTTGTCTCAGTATTCTAGTACTAATGCCAATTTTTTTGTCATTTCAAACCATTGAAAAGTAAATATGGCAAAGAAAGGAGCACTCTGGGCTGGCCAACTAGATGACTGTAATCACTAGGAGGCAAGGTCAGGGAAAAGGAAGAGATTCTGTGCTTTTGTTTCAAAGACTCTTAATTCCTGCAAAAAATTATGGGATTTCCTAAAAACGGACTACTCCCTCACAAAAGTGAAATTACTTTTTTCCCAGACAGGAGGTTATCAGGTTCTGGATTCCATCACAATCTGTCTAATGTTATTGAGATATATTATAGATATTTATGAAACATGGGGGCTTATGAGTCTGATCCATGTAACATTATTTCACCCACTGTTTAGGCGAGTATTCACATGGATATAAATGTGCAAATCCCATTGAAGAAACGTATTCAATTTCCTCATTCAGAGGCATGGTTTGTTTCTGGGTTTTTCTGTACTGGAAATCTTCCAAAATGACAAATTGTATTAAATTCCACTAAGAAAAGTGAATATGTGAATATCTGGGAAACTTTCTTGAGGGTTCCCTTCCTACACTCCCTGCACCAATTCTCTATTGGTTTAGGTATGATGTTCTGACACTTACAGTGCCAAAGATTAGCGATAGTACTTGCATACACAAATACATTCTTGTACTTGATTTTAAGTTCTTTGGATACGGGGGCTACACCTTCACTGTTGTTTTATTCTAAATGCTTAGCAGAGTGTTTTGCACATAGCTAAAAATACAAATATTAGTTAGATTATTTCATCCCTAAAAAAGGTCATAACTTCTATCTGGTGAACAAGTTCTCAGTGAATATTTCTAGCGTATATTACACTAGGTACCATATGAAGATTTAAAAGGCAACTGACAAGGTATTTTAAAGGGCCTCTAGAAAAGAGTGTGACGACACCATTAAGACTTGTTCAACAAAAATTGTCAGAAAGTCTTGGTAGAGACAGAGAAAAAGTTACTATTGCCATGAGCTAATCAAGAATAGCAGATCTCCTCTTTCTTGGATAGTACATTTTTATTAGTATTATTATATATCATTTTGCTATTCATATATTTAGGTAATAAGATTAAATACACAAGACATAATAAAACAATCACTATGCTATAAAATAGAACTTCATCATCCTCATTTTAATATCTGCTAAGATGAGTTTTCTTAACCTTTGTTGATTCTTTTTGCAAAAACCAAATGTCAGACTTTGTTATTACTGAAAGATGATGAATATAATATAAAAGTGAAAAAAATAATTTTTTAAAAGGTGAATAACATCTAATTTGCTTGAAATTATTATTTTGTTGATTTTGTGAACAATACTGAAGTCCTAGAAGACTTGAAAGTCTCCAATAAATTATTTATATAACAAAAGGTGACAATTCAAACCATCCAAGAGAAATTTGACGTTGGGGGTTGAGAATCAAATGAAAAATCTGAGTCAAGTATTTTCAGGAAAATAGCTTCTTAATATACAATTCTTTTCTATATTAATATTGATAATGATAACCAATAGTCCTCAAGTTCTAATCATGTACCAGGAATTATGACAAGTGCTTCACATGCTTTAATGCATTGGAGAGTGACAGCCTTATGAAATAAGTTTCATTATTCTTCCTATTACAGAAATGAACAAACTTATGCTCAGACAGATTTATGTTTTTGCCTATCTTCACACACTTAATAAATGACAGAGCTTACACATTAACTCAGTCTGTTTGAGTTTAATACCCACGACCTTAACCCTGATACAATCTTGCCTCATCTAAATTTCTCTTTGGAAAAAAAAGAGATCATTTTGAACTTGAAATCAAAACAAAAATACGTTAGTAAACTACACATTGTATAATACATGCATTCAATTTTCATGGTGCATTTATGCACAGATAAAATGATTCTTAAAGTTAGAAATCCCTAGGCTTGCAAAAGATCAGTGCTTTCAACTAATATAAGCTTTTCATTTTATAAACTGGGGAAGTAAAAATTAATTATTATAAGTAATTCAAGGAAGTCAACTAGAAACTAGGTGTTTGATTGTCAAGTTAACCAAGTCTAGTTTTCATAAGTGAGCCCTACCATTTTCCTGCAAATGTCCAGATAGAGGCTGCCTCACATTGCAAAACTACTTGGGTCTTGCAGAAAAACTAACAATTAATAATTTAATAGGTAAGGCATGGTGGCTCATACCTGTAATCCCAGCACTTTAGGAGGCCAAGGCAGGCAGGTCAAGAGGTTAGGAGTTTGAGACCAGTCTGGCCAACACAGTGAAACCCCGTCTCCACTAAAAATACAAAAATTAACTAGGTGTGGTGGTGTGCACTTATAATCTCAGCTACTGGGGAGGCTCAGGTAGGAGAATCACATGAACCAGGGAGGCAGAGGTTGCAGTGAGCTGGGATCGCGCCATTACACTCCAGCACAGGTGGCAGTGTGAGAATCCATCTCAGTAATAATGATAATCATAATAAATTTATTGAGCATGGCCAACATCAGTAAATATGAGTGTACCGAATAAAAGTTTTCCATTCATTCATCCACGTATTCATTGCAACACATCTATTACTAATGGTTCATTATTTGCTAAATCCTCCAGTATGCTTTAGGGAAAAGGATGATGCCTGGCATCATAAAAAATTCTCAGGCCGGGCGCGGTGGCTGACGCCTGTAATCCCAGCACTTTGGGAGGCCGAGGCGGGCGGATCACGAGGTCAGGAGATCGAGACCATCCTGGCTAACACGGTGAAACCCCGTCTCTACTAAAAATACAAAAAATTAGCCGGGCGTGGTAGCGGGCGCCTGTAGTCCCAGCTACTCGGGAGGCTGAGGCAGGAGAATGGCGTGAACCCGGGAGGCGGAGCTTTCAGTGAGCCGAGATCGCGCCACTGCACTCCAGCCTGGGCGACAGAGCGAGACTCCGTCTCAAAAAAAAAAAAAAAAAAAAAAAAAAAAAAAAAAAAATTCTCAGTGAATATGAAATGGTTGTAAAATGAATCAAAGAAAGGATTTCTGCCTTTAAGAATATCCAAGCAAATCTGTAAACTTATAACAGGAACACAATAAATTATATGTGAATAAATGAAAATAAAAATGTTATTGAATTAGAGAAAAATAAAACTTGAATGTGAACAGGTTAGAATCAACAAAAGAGGGGAGGTTAGTAAAAAGAGTATTAACACCAAAGTAGAAATTGCTAGTAAAGGATTGTCATGCATTCAATAAAAATAGTATAGCATGCACATTTTTTTTTTTTTTTTTGCAAAAGCTACAAGGCATAAAACACTCGAGAAAAATAATCCCAATCTCTTTAGATGGCAGGATAACAATATAGACACAAAATGAAATAATGTGAAGTGATTTGTAATAAATGTTACATTCAAAGGAATGATAAATGTTTGGACTCACATAACTTAGAAAGGCTTCACTAAACAAAATTAAGCAGTAGCTTCATAGAAAGAGTGATCTTATGAATGAGTTTAGGAGATGGCTAATTCATGAGAAAGAGAAATGCATGACAAAGGCAAAGAGGGATGATATATCAAGACTTATTGAATGAAAAGTTGAGGATCTGGCAAGATGGCTGAATAGGAACAGCTCAGGTCAGCAGCTCCCAGCGAGACCAATGTAGAAGGCAAGTGATTTCTGAATTTCCAACTGAGATACCCAGTTCATCTCACTGGGACTGCTTACGCAGTGGGTGCAGCCCACGGAGGGTGAGCAGAAGCAGGGTGGGGCATCACATTACCCGAGAAGGAGCCTGGGGACCTCCCTTCCCCAGCCAAAGGAAGCCATGAGGGACTGTGCTACCCAGCCTGGATACTACATTTTTCCCACGGGTTTTGCAATCCACAGATCAGAAGATTTCCTCATGTGCCTACACCAGCAGGGTCCTGGATTTCAAAGCACGAAACTGGGAGGCTGTTTTGGGCAGACACCGAGCTAGCTGCATGAGTTTTCTTCACACCCCAGTGGCGCCAGGAACCCCAGCAAGACAGATCCATTCACTCCCCTGGCAAGTGGACTAAAGTAAGGGAGCCAAGTGGTCTCACTCTGCGGGTCCCATGCCCACGGAGCCCAACAAGCTAAGAACCACTGGCTTGAAATTTTCACTGCCAGCACAGCAGTCTGAAGTCAACGCGGGACGATCAGGCTTGATGAGGGGAGGGACATCCACTATTACTGAGGCTTTAGTAAGTGGTTTTCCCCTGACAGTGCTACGGAGGCCGGGAGGTTTGGACTAGGTGCAATTCACCACAGCCTGGCAAAGCAGCTGTGGCCAGACTGCCTCTCTAGATTCCTCCTCACTGAGCAGGGCATCTCTGAAAGAAAGGCAGCAGCCCCAGACAGAGGCTTATAGATAAAGTTCCCACCTCCCTGGGACAGAGCACCTGGGGGAAGGGGCATCTGTGGGCACAGTTTCAGTGGGCATAAAGTTTCCTGCCTGCAGGCTCTGAAGAGAGCAGTTGATTCTGACAAGGAGGATTCTCCTGGCACAGCATTCGAGCTCTGCTAAGAAACAGACTGCCTTCTCAAGTGAGTCCCCGACGCCCGTGCCTTCTGACTGGGAGAGACCTCCCAACAAGGGTCAACAGACACCTCATACAGGAGAGCTCTGGCTGGCATCAGGCAGGTGCCCCTCTGGGACGAATCTTCCAGAGGAAAGAAGAGGAAGCAATCTTTGCTGTTCTGTAGGCTCTGCTACAACCAATGGCTGTGGGGTGGTCATAAATAGCTTTTAATATTTTGAGATATGTTCCATCAATACCTAGTTTATTGAGAGCTTTTAGCATGAAGGGGTGTTGAATTTTATCGAAGGCCTTTTCTGCATCTATTGAGATAATCAGGTGTTTTTTTTTCATTGGTTCTGTTTATGTGATGGATTACATTTAGTGATTTTTATATGTTGAACCAGGCTTGCATCCCAGGGATGAAGCCAACTTGATCGTGGCTTCTTGAGGCAAGAGCAGGCGGCAGTCTTTGCTATTCTGCGGTCTCCACTGGTGATTCGCAGTCGAACACGTTCTGGCGTGCATCCCCAGTGAACTGCAGCAGACCTGCAGAAGAGAGGCCTGACTGTTTGAAGAAAAACTAGCAAACAGAAAGCAACAACATCAACATCAACAGAAAGGACCCCCACACAAAAACCCCATCCAAAGGTCATCGGACTCAAAGATCAAAGATAGGTAAATCCACAAAGATTAGGAAACACCAATGCAAAAGACTAAAAATTCCAAAAACCAGAATGCCTCTTCTCCACCATGATCACAACTCCTCTCCAGCAAGGGTACAAAACTGGACAGAGAATGAGATTGATGAAATGACAGAAGTAGGCTTCAAAGGTGGGTAATAACAAACTCCTCTGTGCTAAAGGAGCATGTTCTAATGCAATGCATGGAAGCTAAGAACCTGATAAAAGGTTACAAGAAGTGCTAACTAGAATAACCAGTTTACAGAGGAAAATAAATGACTTGATGGAGCTGAAAAACACAGCACAAGAACTTCTGAAGCATACACAAGTATCAATAGCTGAATCGATCAAGTGGAAGAAGGGATATCAGAGATTGAAGATCAACTTACTGAAATAAGGTGTAAAGACAAGATTAGAAAAAAAAAAGAATGAAAATGAATGAACAAGGCCTCCAAGAAATATGGCACTATGTGAAAAGACCAAACCTATGATTGGCTGGTGTATCTGAAATTGATGAGGAGAATGCAACCAAGTTGGAATACACATTTCAGGATATTATCCAGGAGAACTTCCCCACCCTAGCAAGACAGGCCAACATAGAAATTCAGGAAATACAGAGAACACCACTAAGATAATCCTTGAGAAGAGCAACCCTAAGACACATAATCATCTGATTCTCCAAAGTTGAAATGAAGGAAGCAATGTTAAGGGCAGCCAGAGAGAAAGCTCAGGTTACCCGCAAGGGGAAGCCCATCAGACTAACAGCGGATCTCTCTGCAGAAACCCTATAAGTCAAAGAGAGTTAGGACCAATATTCAACATTCTTAAAAGAATTTTCCACCCAGATTTCATACCCGTCAAACTAAGCTTCAAAAGCGAAGGAGAAATAAAATCCTTTCAAGACAAGCAAATGCTGAGGGATTTTTGTCACCACGAGGCTCCTGAAGGAAGAGCTCCTGAAGGAAGCACTAAATATGGAAAGGAACCACCAGTACCAGCCACTGCAAAAACACACCAAAATATATAAGACCAATGACACTATGAAGAAACTGCTTCAACTAATGTGGAAAATAAGCAGCTAGCGTAATGAGGACAAGATCAAATTCAAATTCACACATAACAATATTAACCTTAAATATAAATGGCCTAAATACCCCAATTAATAGGCATAGACTGGCAAATTGGATAGAATCAAGACACATCGGTGTGCTGTATTCAGGAGACACATCTCATACGCAAAGACACACATAGGCTAAAAATAAAGGGATGGAGGAATATTTACCAAACAAATTGAAAGCAAAAAAAAAAAAATAAGAAAAAGCAGGCATTGCAAAACTAGTCTGATAAAACAAACTTTAAACCAACAAAGATCAAAAAAGATAACGAAGGGCATTACATAATGGTAAAGGGATTAATGCAACAAGAAGACTTAACAATCCTAAATAAATATATATGCACCCAATACAGGAGAACCCAGATTCATAAAACTAGTTCTTAGAGACCTACAAAGAGACTTAGACTCCCACACAATAATAGTGGGAGACTTTAGCACCCTCCTGTCAATATTAGACAGATCGAGACAGAAAATTAACAAGGATATTCAGAACTTGAACTCAGCTCTGAACCAAGCAGACCTAATAGACATCTATAGAACTCTCCACCCCAAATCAACAGAATATACATTCTTCTCAGCACCACATAACACTTATTCTAAAATCGACCACAAAATTGGAAGTAAAACACTCCTCAGGAAATGCAAAAGAACAGAAGTCAGAAGAAACAGTCTCTGAGACCACAGTGCAATCAAATTAGAACTCAGGATTAAGAAACTAACTTAAAACTGCACAATTACATAGAAACTGAACAACCTGCTGCTGAATGATGACTGGGTAAATAACAAAATTAAGGCAGAAATAAAGAAGCTCTTTGAAACCAATGAGAACAAAGACACAATGTACTAGAATCTCTGGGGCACAGCTAAAACAGTGTTAAGAGGGAAATTTACAGCAGTAATTACCCACATCAAAAAGCTGGAAAGATCTACAATCAACACCTGAACATCACAATTAAAAGAACTAGAGAAGCAAGAGCAAACAAATTCAAAAGCTAGCAGAAGAAAAGTAATGACTAAGATGAGAGCAGAAATGAAGGAGAAAGACACACAAAAATCCCTTAAAAAAATCAATGAATCCAGGAGCTGGTTTTTCAAAAAGATTAACAAAATAGATAGACCACTAGCCAGACTAGTAAAGAAAAAAAGAGAGAAGAATCAATTTGACACAATAAAAAATGATAAAGGGGAGAGCACCACTGATCCCACAAAAATACAAACTCCATCAGAGAATACTGTAAACACCTTTACGAAAATAACTAGAAAATCTAGAAGAAATGGATAAATTCCTGGACCCATGTACCCTCCCAAGTCTAAACCAGGAAGCAGTCGAATCCCTGAGTCACAGCCAAATTCTACCAGAGGTACAAAGAAGAACCGGTACCATACCTTCTGAAACTATTGCAAACAATACAAAAAGAAAGACTCCTCCCTAACTCAGTTCATGAGGCCAGTATCAACCTGATATCAAAACCTGGCAGAGACACAACAAAAAAAGAAAACTTCAGGCCAAAACCTCTGATGAACATCGATATGAAAATCCTAATTAAATACTGGCAAACCAAATCCAGCAGCACATCAAGAAGCTTATCCACCACGATCAAGTTGGCTTCATCCCTGGGATGCAAGCCTGGTTCAACATACAAAAATCACTAAATGTAATCCATCACATAAACAGAACCAATGAAAAAAAAACACACCTGATTATCTCAATAGATTCAGAATAGGCCTTCGATAAAATTCAACACAGCTTCATGCTAAAAGCACTCAATAAACTAGGTACTGATGGAACATATCTCAAAATATTAAAAGCTATTTATGACCACCCCACAGCCAATATCATACTGAAAGGGCAAAAGCTGGAAGCATTCCCTTTGAAAACTGGCACAAGATAAGGATGCACTGTCTCACTACTCCTATTCAACATAGTATGGGAAGTTCTGGCCAGGGCAATCAGGCAAGAGAAAGAAATAAAGGGTATTCAAACAGGAAGAAAGGAAGCCAAATTGTCTCTGTTTGCATATGACATGATTGTATATTTAGAAAACCCCATTGTCTCAGACCAAAACTCCTTAAGCTGATGAGCAAAGTCAGCCAAGTCTTAGGATACAAAATCAATGTGCAGAAGTCACAAGCATTCCTATATGCCAACAGTAGACAAGACTAGAATCATCACGAGTTAACTCACGTTCACAATTGCTACAGAGAGAATAAAATACCTAGGAACACAACTTACAAGGGATGTGAAAGACCTCTTCAAGGGGAACTACAAAGCACTGCTCAAGGAAATAGGAGAGGACACAAACAAATGGAAAAACATTCCATGCTCATGGATAGAAAGAAAAAACATTCCATGCTCATGGATAGGAAGGAAAAATATTCCATGCTCATGGATCATGAAAATGGTCATAATACCCAAAGTAATGTATTGATTCAATGCTATTCCCATCAACCTACCATTGATTTTCTTCACAGAATTAGAAAAAAAAAACTACTTTAAATTTCATAGGGAACCAAAAAAGAGCCCCTACAGCCAAGATAATCCTAAGCAAAAAGAACAAAGCTGGAGGTATCATGCTACCTGACTTCAAAATATACTGCAAGGCTACAGTAACCAAAACAGCATGGTACTGGTACCAAAACAGATACATAGATGAATGGAGCAGAGCAAAGGCCTCAGAAAAAATACCACACATCTACAATCATCTGATCTTTGACAAACCTGACAAAAACAATCAATGGGGAAAGGATTCCCTATTTAATAAATGGTGTTGGGAAAACTGGCCAGACATATGCAGAAAACTGAAACTGGACCCTTCCTTATACCTTATATGAAAATTAAATGAAGACGGATTGAAGACTTAAATGTAAAACCTAAAACCATAAAAACCCTAGAAGAAAACCTAGTCAATACCATTCAGGACATAGGCATGGACAAAGACTTCATGACTAAAACACCAAAAGCAATGGCAACAAAAGCCAAAATTGACAAATGAGATCTAATTAAACTAAAGAGTTTCTACAGAGCAAAAGAAATTATCATCAGAATAAATGGGCAACCTACAAAATGGAAGAAAATTTTTGCAATCTATCCATCTGACAAAGGGCTCATATGCAGAATCTACAAGGAACTTAAACAAATTTACAAGGAAAAAACAACCCCATCAAAAAGTGGGCAAAGTATATCAACAGAAACTTCTCAAAAGAAGATATTTATGCAGCTAACAAACAAAAGATAAAAAAATCTCATCATCACCGGTCATTAGAGAAATGCAAATCAAAACCACAATGAAATACCATTTCACGCCAGTCAGAATGGTGATCATTAAAAAGTCAGGAAACAACAGATGCTGGAGAGAATGTGGAGAAATAGGAACGTTTTTACGCTAGTGGTGAAAATGTAAATTAATTCAACCATTGTGGAAGACAGTGTGGCGATTCCTCAAGGATCTAGAACCAGAAATACCATTTAGCCCAGCAATCCCAGTACTAGGTATATACCCAAAGGATTATGAATCATTCTACTATAAAGACACATGCACACATATGTTTATTGCAGCACTATTTACAAGAGCAAAGACTTGGAACCAACTCAAATGCCCATCAATGATAGACTGGATACAGAAAATGTGGCACATATACACAATGGAATACTATGCAGCCATAAAAAATAATGAACTCATGTCTTTTTCAGGGACACGGATGCAGCTGGAAACCAACATTCTCAGCAAACACAGGAACAGAAAACCAAACATCGCATGTTCTCGCTCATATATGGGAGTTGAACAGTGAGATCACATGGACAGAGGGAGAGGAACATCACACACTGGGGCCTGTCAGGGAGTGGGGGGCAAGGGGAGGGAGAACAGTAGGAGAAATATTAATGCATGCGGGGCGTAAAACCTAGATGATGGGTTGATAGGTTCAGCAAACCACCATGGCACATGTATAACTATGTGACAAACCTGCACGTTCTGCACATGTCTCCCAGAACTTAGAGTAAAATTTTAAAAATTTAAAAAATTAAAATTAAATACATAAATACATAAATAAATGAAAAGTCAATATTATATCCATACAATTATGTTGTTTAACTGGGATTTGGACCTGTTAATAACTTTGCCACACAATCATGTACCTCTATGTAAATATAGGTTCTTTTAGTAAAAGCAAATGTAAATTGGTACAAATATACTTTTCTCAAAGGGGTAGATCAAAAGATGATCAATCTATGTAACATATAGGAACTATTTGCAATTTGCAAATGAATATATTTGAATTTTCTTAGTTTTCATCTGTCCAAAGTGACCATTTTTTATGTAACTGTTCTTCTTTCATTAATACAAATAAAGTTCATTAATAATTAATATGTTTGAGTTTTAACTGCCTTCCATTCCATATAAGACCCTTAGGCTTAGTCAACACTTTCTCTTAATTAGCATGCTTATTCTTTAATAACAGTATAAACAAAATTTAGATTTGAAAATTTGATAAATTAATAGTGATGTTTGATGATTTCATCAGTGTATACTTATTTCCAAACACATAAAATTGTGTACATTAAATATCTGTAGTTTTTTGTATGTTAATCACACTTTGATATAGTGGTTAAAAATAATTTAACTTTTCTTCTCTGCTACATATATCAAATTCTATTTAGCTACTAGCCATAAATACATAATAGAAATTAAAAACATACATAAACAGCATGTTTATAAAAGAGCATGTTAACTCACACATATATATACATGTATATATGTATACATGTATGTATATGAATATATGCATATATGTTTTATATGTATATATGTATACTTATGTATACATATATATTTTATATGTAAATATGTACACATATATAAGTATATAAATATATGCATGAATTTATGTTAATATATTTTATGTATATATGTGTATACATATATATTTTCCAAAACCCTCCTTAATAGTTATTTAAGCATTAAAATGTCAATCATGAAATCACTTCAAGGGGGTCTTCTTGATGCTAATATCATGTTGATATAAGAATAGGTGCTTAATAAAGTCTCACTATTAACTTAAAGTTACAATTGAAAACTGGATAATGTTTATGTCAATTGATAAATTACTGAAATTGAAAGTCCAAACTCCTGAAGACGAAATGACACTATAAGGTGGAATTGCTGTTCCTAATAAAGCACACATGAAGCAGGTTGCCATAAACCCCACTGGGGAAGGCAAATCTCATTTCTACTCATTGATGAAGTATGAATGTTGTATAAAAGATTGAAACACTACCACTATTAGGGATAAAATAGCAGTTGTTAACAAAAAATACGTTCAGATCAGGGTATTCAACACTGGCATGCAAGCACAATAGAAATATATATTTATTTCCTGTGGAATTATTTTCCAGAATGTTGAATGGTTTTGTAAATGAGAAGATATGGAGTTAATGCCACATATGCTAGAGTAGACAAGTTTGAATAAGTTGAATGTGTTCAGCTGTATTCTGTAGAAGTTGGATATGAATTTTCTTAAGTTGAATATATTCATATGTTTCTTATTACATTAATACTTATCACTGTGTCTCTTAAAGCAAAAACTAACATAAATAAATAAATAAATAAATAAATAAATAAATAAATAAAAAGACCTGTCTCTAAGAGGTTGAATTTAATTTTCTCCGTAGATGTTTAAGCTCCTTGGCTTCCAGAATAGTTCTTTTGGTTTTACTTGCTAGTTTTATTTTTTACATGTTAGAGTTAACTATACTTTTTATTTGCTGATGTTAATAGGTGAGAATTATTGCTTGGCTTCAGTTAATTGCATATCTTATGCACTTTATCCAGTGGTCTACAACTAAGTAAAAAGCAGAAGTTTTAATTTCTAATAAGTTCCCGGGTGCTGCTGCTGCTATTGGTCTGTGGACCACAGAATAGTAAGTAGTAGTAAGAGCGAGCTTGTTGGATGTTTAAATTGTTATATCTTCCAGTTTCCTGTGTGAAACCAGAAGCAAAAATTCATTCGTTTATTAAGACATCTTAATGGATTTTAAATGTTGACATTCCATAGAAAGAACCAGAGAGAGAAGGAAGGAAGGGAGGGAGGGAGGGAGGGAGGGAGGGAGGGAGGGAGGGAAAAGAAAGGAAAGAAAACATTTGGAGGAAAAACAAAAGCTTAGCTGATTTGGCCTACAGGCTGTTAAGTTACTGACTTCTGAGTTATGAGCTCCAGACAAATGATTATATGCCATTCAGGTATGAGAAGGGGGAGGTGAAGGGCATTACAGTGTTCCATGTTATTTTATTATGATTTATTGTTCATAATAAACAATTACTATTAATAGTGATAAAATATTCTTTGTTGCTGTGACAAAATAAGTAAAATTGTGTCTTGTCACCCAAATATCTTACTAGTCTTGATTTCTTGTTACAATGCCTCAGGTACCAATTTGACTTCAAAATCTTTTACTAAATCATAAAGAAAAATAAGTTTAATCTCATCATATTTCTTCAGATATTATCTTCTACCACCCATCACTGGGCATTCCTTACTCCTTGGCATTCTTCACCTAAACTTAATTGAAAAGAAAAAACAAAATATTCTATTTCCTTATTAATATGGCTCAAGCCTGAATTATATATAAATATACACAAACACATACACACACACACACATACACACATACACACACATCCCAATTATTTGTGTATTTAATCAGTTACTTATGAATTTGTGAATATTTATTTTAGACTTTGAGTTAAAATCCAAAACTACTTTATTCTGTCTCAGATTGTTTCAGTTTTGGCCATTGGGAGTGCTTTTGATTGTATCTTGTGTTCCTTTGACACTGGGGAGAGTGGTTTGTTCGAAGTTTTATTGTGCAATTCCTTTTGATTAGGTAACGTTTCTTCGTGTCTCTCTCTCTCTCTCTTTCTCTTTCTCTCTCTCTCTCTCTCTCTGTGTGTGTGTGTGTGTGTGTGTGTGTGTGTGTGTGTGTGTCTTAGCTCATTCGAGATGCTATAACAAATATATTAATCTGGGAAATTTATGGACAGCAGAAATATACTCCTTACAGTTCTGGAGGCTGGGAAATCCAAGATCAAGATGCTGACATATTCAGCATCTGGTATGAGCTTGCTCTCTGCCTCAAAGAGACACCTTGTAGCTGTGTCCTTACCCTGTGGAAGGAGAGAACAGCTCATTGCACCTCTTTTATAAGGCCACTAATCCCATGAAGGCTCTGCCTTCATGACTTAATCACCCACTAAAGGCCCACCTCTTAATAGCAGCACATCAGCAATTAACTTTCAACATGAATTTGGAGAGGATACATACAGGTCATAACAGTGTGTGTTTTATTAGTACTTTATTACTTTCTATTATGCAAGATGATTCAAGATTATCTTTTATATTTTCTCCCTCATTCCTAGAATAGTCTAGACAAGGATCTCTAGTTCCTATTACTGGAGAATTACATTAGAAACTAAGATCTAGGTGCTAGGTTTGCTCATTGCTATGAGATGTCATTGAATCTAGAACTTCTGAGCTGACAGTACAAGGAAATGCATGTGCATATCCTAACCTATATACTTACACCAATCTATAATACATACCTATAACACATATATAAATATCTGTAAGACTATATTTACATCAAGCTAAACATGAATTCTTACTGATGTCACTGTATCAAAAATATCACTATTTCCCTTGATTAGATATATGACCTTAACACTTCAACAGTGAGAAACTTGTTTCCTGTCATCAAACATATATTTATTTAATTATTCAATTCTAGTACATGAATAAAAGTATTGGAATTGTTGAAGCCTAACCATGTGCAAAAAAACATTATAAATTAGAGTGCAGCGTCTATGTTTGTTTTGCTTTGCCTTTAGTCTTATAGACTCCTCTCATTTTCAAATTTAGTTGTTAGAAACTTGCTCCCCCAACCCCCTTAAGAGAGGTTGGTCATACATTTATAATGCAGTTAGATTCTCTTGTCATAGTCTGCATTCCGTCATCACATCTGACACCCTCCTGTTTCCTTTTTATGAATAAATAATATACCGTTATATGGATATACCACAATACATTTATCAGTTCTTCTACTGAAGGAAATTTTGTGTGCTTCCAGTTTTGGATGATTATGAATAAAGTTGCTGTAAACCTTCACACGCAGATTTGTATGTGGAAATAACATTACAAATTAGTTGAGTAAATACCCAGAAGTGCAGTTGCTGGTCATATGGTAAAACTATGTATATCATTGTAAAAATCTGCCAAATAGTCTTCCAAGTGGCAGTATTATTTTGCATCCCTACTAGCAATGAATGAGTGTTATTACTGCTTGATATATCTCCCAGAAAATGACATTAACATTTCTTGCCATTCTCAAAGTAATGTTACTCATTTTTTGTGTCAACTAATTTATAATAACAAATGACTGAACATCTTTTTTATATGCTTATTTGCCCTCTTTCTGTCTTTTCTGGTGAGGTGTCTGTTTTAAAATATGTCCATATTTAATTGGTTGGGTGGTTTGTTTTCTTAAGAAGTGTTTAAAAGTTGTGTTTTTTTTTCACTTTTTCAAAAATTTTAGATACAAGTCTTTTACCAAATACGTGTTTCACATATATTCTCTTCCAGTGTGTGGCTTACTATATCATTCTCTTTGTATTCTTTTTAACAGAGAAGTTTTAAATTCAATAAACTCCTACGCATCCATTTTTTTATGGATTGTGTTTTGATGTTGTATATAAAACTCATTATCAAAGGTAAATATGGTATGTGTTTTTCCTATGTTATCCTTAGAGAAGTTTTATGTCTTTGTTTTTTTACTTTTAGATCTGTGATCCATATTGAGGATCTAAGGTTTGTGTGCAGGTTTATTTTTTTACATGTGGTCAGTCTGATTGTTCCAACAGCATATGTGGAAAAGTTTATTCCTTCTTCACTGAATTGCTCTTGCTCCTTTGTTAGATTACCTGATGATATTTGTGCAAATCTATTTCTGGGCTCTCCTTTCTATTCCATTAATGTATATAAAATAATAACATTTATTACTGTGATTTTGTATTAAGTTTTGAAATTGGGTAGTGTGAGTTCTCCAGCTTTATTCTTCAATGTCATGTTGGCTATTCTAGGGCTTTTGCTTTTTCCCATAAACATTAGAATCAAGTTGTCAGTATCTACAAAACAGCTTGCTAGAAGTTAATTGGGATTGTATTAAAACTATAAATCACACTGAGAAAATTTAACAGCTTAAAATATTGAGTTCTAAATTCTATGAACATGGAATATCTTTCTATTTATTTGAATTTCATTGATTTTCTTACTCAGCTTTGTAGTTTTACACGCTTAGATTCTTTATATATTTTGTTAAATTTATACCTATTTATTTTTTAGGTGCTGTTGTAAATGGCATTTTTTAAATTCCAAGTTTCAGTACTTCATAGGAAAGCAAATGACTTTTGTCAAGTTTATTGATTGTCTTTATTGTTTACTTATTTTCAATTTAATTGATTTTTGCTTTATTGTTTTATTTCTTTCCCCTCCTTGTTTGGGAGTAAGCTACTCTTTTTCTCAAGTGTCCTATGGTGGAAATTTAGGTTATTGATATTAGATCATTCTTATTATCAGGTTTTTTATTTTGCATAACAGAAGAAGGGAGATATACAGTGAGAAAAGGGGAGAAAGATGAAGGGCTGTAGAGAGATAGAGAAAACTTCTTTTATAATATACCCATCTAATGCTATAAGTTTCCCTTTAAATTTAGTGTTGCTTTTGGTGCATCCCACAAATATTAATTTTCATTTTGTCTTAGTTTTTGTTTTTTATTGAGATGCTTTCCTTCACCCACATATTATTTAGAAGTATGTTGTTCATTTTCAATATTTGGGAGATTTCTAGCTTTCTTTCCTGTATGTATTTCTAATTTATGCCAATTTTCATCTTAGAGCATACTTTCTATCATTTTTTGTTTGAATTTGTTCATGTGTGCTTTTTGGTACATAATGTGCTCTGTCTTGGTGAATATTTCATGTGAGCTGGAGAATAATATGTGTTCTGCTGTTTTATGATGTTTATTCTATAAATGTAAATTAAATTGATTAGATTGATTTTACTATTCAGCTCATTCACATCCTTCTTGAGTTTCTGGCTGCTTGATCTTTCAATTACTAAAAAAGGGTTATTGCATTCTCCAATTGTAATAATGTATTTGTGTATTGCTCCTTAAAGTTTTCTCAAGTTCTATATCATTTTTAAGGTGATGTTGTTAGGCACATGCATGTTAAGGACTGTTATGCCTTCTTGAAGAATTAACCCCTTCTTCATTATAAAAGTCTCTGTTTATTCCTGATAATTTTCTTTGTCCTGAAGTTAGTTTTGTCTGAAATTAACAGTTATTCTAGCTTTCTTTTCATTGAAGTTATCAGTCTATATTTCTCCATCTCTTTATTTTAACCTATCCAAGTCTTCATATTTAGAGTGGGCTTTTGTGTACACAGCATATTTCTAGGTGGTGTTATTTATCCACTCAATCTTTGTCTTTAATTCATGTATTTAACACATTTATACTCATTATAAATACAGTTGGATTCATATGTACTGTGTTTTAACATTTTTATGTTTGTTGAATTTATTCTTTTATATCCCTGCTTTTCTGACTTCTCTTTTTTTAAATGAGTACTTTGTGATTTTGTTTTATAAATCTCTCTTAGCATATCAATAGCATTTTTTAAAACAGTGTTTTCCCTAGGGTTTACATAACACAATTTAACTTCACTTACAAATTGCACAATATTGTATAATGCACATTATGCACACATTATTAAAGAGTATTTCCAGTTCTACCTATTTAATTTATTCCTTACCCAATACTCTGCCTTTTTTAATGTAGATACAAGTTTCTGACCTATATAATTCTACTTTGCCTGAATAACATCTAACATTTCTTTTGAAGCAGTTCTGCTGGTGATGAACTCTCTCAGTTTTTGTTTGTATAAGAATATTTTTCATTTCTCTTTTACTTTTGAAGGATAACTTCTCTGCATATGGAATTTTGCGTTTTTTAAAAAGGATTTTCTTTCAACATTTCACATATTTTATTTCACTCTTATTTTTGCTTGGTTTTGATAAAAAGTCCACAGTAATTCTTATTATTTTTGTTCTATAATATGGTGGTTTTTTCCTCTGGCTTCTTTTAAAATTTTATCTTTGCTTTTAGTTTTCTTCAGTTTGGATATGATATACATAGGTTTAGATATTTTGTTATTTATCCTGCTTTGTGGTCTGTGAGCTTCCTGAATTTGTAGTTAGATGTCTATCATTAATTTTGGAAAATTCTTGTCCATTATTATTTTTACTTCAAGTATTTTTTTCTTTTTGCTGTTTCTTCTCTTGCTATTTTTCTAGTTATACATGTATTGTGCCTTTTGAAATTACTGCAAAGTTCTTAAACATTTTCTTTATAAAATTCTTTTTTCTAAATTTGCACTTAAGTTTATAAAGTTTCTGTTGATCTCTTTCAAGCTAACTTATTTTTTGTTTGCCATGGCTAGTCTGCTGATGAGCCAATCAGAAGGATTTTTTAATTTTCTTTACATTATTTTTAGCATTTCCTTTTGAGTATTTATTAGGGTTTTCTCTCTCTGCTTATATTACTCATCTCTTCTACCATATTATCTACTTTTTTTTTTCCTTTGGAGCCTTTAACATACTAATCGTAATTGCTTTAAATCTCTCCTGATAATTCCAACATATTTGATTTGGTGTATGATTCTTTCTCTGTCTCTTCAGATTTTATCTTTCTATTTTTATGTTTATAAAAAAAGTTTTTGTCTTTTAACATGTCTCATAAATTTTTGTTGAAAGCCTGGTATTTTGTACGAAGTAAATAGGTGTTTGTGTGAAGGTTTATGTTAACCTGGCTAAGAGGTCAGTTTATTGTTTTCTATTACTGTAGGTATAAAAGGTTTCAAATTTCTTAATTTCATTTTGGTCTCCACTCTTGACTTTGTGTTTCCGAAAGTACTACACTTCAGAGAGAATCTCTGTCTGACAGGTCTTTCTTTTATAATCTTTTGTTACTATACTGAATCCCCATTGATATCACGGTAAATTGTGACTGAGAAACAGTTTTCTATAATCTTATGATTAAATGTCACTCTTTTAGTGGGTCTGTCTCAAAGTTGTGCCCTAAACCAACATTCTCCAGTGGTTTAATTTTTGTTTGCCTTAGGTGAGACAAAATATTTTAATTAGTCTAATGTGAGAGGAATCCATCCTCCCCACATTCTATGACATAACTCTCTGTTCAAATATTTTACCATAGGGAATGGGAGCTATCTGTTCTCAGCTTGTCTCTATTTCTACCTCTGGGGAAAATCTCTGAACTACTGGTCGGGTTCTAGGAGCAAAACCTTGGTGCCCTTCTTTGGAGGTGGAATTCCCACTTTATAAACTGAGCTCTTGGTGAATTTAAAGCATAACAAACTCAGATCTCCCTGATTTGCCTTTCTGTTATAGAAACCCCATTCTTTGAGCCCAAGCAAGACAATCAGACCCCAATATATTCGGCAAGCCTCTATCTCACAAATGGGAATAGGGTAGAAGAAGAGAGCCCTCACCTCTTGGCTTTACTAACCTAGAACTTAGCCTCAGCAGCAGAAAGTTGGGGGAAAGATGAAAAACACTGACATGTTGCCTATATCAGGAAAATGTTCCTCTTACTTGGACTGGGGGAAAAGTAGTCTTGTGCCTTGGCTGTTCTACCCTTGAATGAACTTTCTGTGTTGCTGAGGTGAGAAGGCAAAGGGAGAGCATGGATATTAGTTCAGACACCACTGGGTCTCTCTCATCTTAAAAATGTTTAGATTTTTTTCCATAAAATTCAATAAACCTTAAATGACTTATATTTTTAGTAATTTTTAGCAGTTTCATTGGGGAGGGGTTCCACAGAGGTCCTCATACACTCATACCAGAAGTAGGACTTCCTACAGAAGCTTTTCTAATTTAGTAATTCAACTTCTGAATTATCAGAAATAAAACAAATCACTACTCCACAGCACAATGCATCAGTTTTGCTTTCAAACAATGTGTAGCATACCAGGATTCATAATCTAGAATCAATGATGTCATTGTTGAGACATTTACTATATGTGCTTAGTTTTGAGGAATTTCACAAACATTATTAACTTCATTGTATCTAATAAATTCAGTGGTAGCTGTAAATGCTAGTAAAAAATAGACATAGAATGATTATAAAAATGAAACAATATAATTAAAAAAGTAAAAGAAGTGAGAGGGCAGTGCGTAAGGCATATTGGCATGTATAATGTATTCAGTATTAGCAACCTCTTTGAAGAACAACCTATTAATCATACAATATGTAAAATGCTGTGGTGTTACGTGTCTACATAACTGTAATTCATCAAAGAAAAAGTAAAGGCAATGTTGCACTTTCAGTAACATGTAATGATGTCAGCCCATTTCAATTTTATTACTTGAAAGGCTTAATATTATTACTAGAAAATCAACATCAATGTTGTTTTTTCTCAAGTTAATTCATGAGAAGGCCATCAATTTGTTGAAAAATATTAAAGTCCAAATATGGTAAGGGGACCTCTGATAAAATGTTAGTAGCCAGGCTCAGATAGGAAAGAATTATGTTTTCATAATTTGAAAGTGTGTTTAATTGTACACAGCAGTGTGCTCACAGAATGTGAATGCTGATAGAGAAGTTTTCTGGGATTATCAAGAAAAAATATAAACTGATTTACCAAGGGATTTTTAATTAAAGTCATGTTTTATGTAGAAGATTAAAAACATTCCATATAAACTAGAGTTGCTAGGAAGAAGAGGATGCCTAGTTTTAAAGGTCTAAGAAATGACACAAAATCTTCTTTGTTGCATATGAATCCATAGCCTGGAATGGCTGAAACCATGCTCTATCAATTATATATAGGAATAACTCTTTGGAAATTAGTGTTTTAGAAGAGCTTTACCTCAGATTTATTAAGAGTAATGGGGAAAATGAAGTGGGTAAATCACTTATCACAATGTCTAGATAAACAATAGACCTCTTTCTCATTCTGTCAGCTGTCTAAGATTATTGGATGCTTTGGTTTTAAAGGGAGCTATCTAGGATTAGGCTCCTCAGAAAACAGACTCTGAAACTATGACCTTTTCATGCAGAAACTTTATTGGGGAGTGCTTTACTAATTAATTCTTATACTGGAATGAGCAGAGCAGGACTGGTCAGAGAGAGATTTTTTAATTATAATGCAGGTGCAATTGAGACTTCATCTGATTCCAGGGGAAATTCTTGTGGGCACCTGAGGAATGAATGCTTCCATTCTCAAGGAAAAAAAACTGAGGAATGACCACACATGGTAAGGACAGTTTACATGATACCCACCCTCTTAACAAATCTTAAGGTGTACAATACATTATTGTAGACTATATGTACAACATTGTATAGCAGATTTGTAGGGCATATTTATCTTGCTTAACAGAACTTTACACCCATTCATTGGTGACTATTTACTTTCTCCCAAATATCAGTCTCCCCATCATTGACCCTATAGCCAACATTCCACTCTTGATTCCACAAATTTGACATTTTAGATACCTTATATAAGCAGAATCATGCAATATTTGTCTTTCTGTTAAATGGCCCATTTCACTTAGTATAATGTCCTCAAGATTCATGTATTCTGTCACATATTGCAAAAATCCCTTCTTTTTTAAAAACTGAATAGTATTTGCTTGTATGTGTATCCCACATTTTATTCATTCATCTTTTGATGGACATTTAGGTTGTTTCCACATCATGGCTAGTGTGCATAATCCTGCAATGACATCAGAGTAATGTATCTCTTCAAGATCTGATTTCAATTCTTTCTTTTTAATTTAATTTATTTATTTATTATTTATTTATTTATTTATTTATTTTTGAGATAGAGTTTCACTCTTGTTGCCCAGGCTGGAGTGCAATGGTGCGATCTTGGCTAACCACAACCTGTGCCTCCCGGGTTCAAGCGATTCTTCTGCTTCAGCCTCACGAGTAGCTGGGACTACAGCCATGCGCCACCATGCCCAGCTAATTTTGTATTTTTAGTAGAGATGAGGTTTCTCTATGTTGGTCAGGCTGGTCTCGAACTGCTGACCTCAGGTGATTCGCTCGCTTCGGCCTCCCAAAGTGCTGGGATTACAGGCGTGAGCCACCACGCCCGACCCAATTCTTTTGGATATATACCTAACAGTAGGATTGCCACATCATATAGTAGTTCTATTTTTAACTTTTTGAGGAAGCACATTCTGTTTTCCATAGCAGCTACAGCATTTTGCATTCTCACCCAATACTATGCAAGAGTTTCAGTTTTTTCTGCATTCTCACTAATTCTTGTCTTTTATTTTTAAAAATAGGTATCCTGACAGGTGTGAAGTGATACCTCATTTAGATTTTGACTTGCATTTCCCTGATGATTACTGTTAAGCAGTTTTTCACATACAGGTTGGTCATTTGTATATCTTCTTTGGAGGAATATCAATTGAAGTCCGTAGCCCATTTTTAATTATATTAGTGTTCTTTTAAAAATACTGAGTTGTAGAAGTTATATACTTTGGAAATTAACCTCTTATTTATCAGATGTTTGGTTATCAAGTAATTTTGCAATTCTTCAGGTTATCTATTCACTTTGTTATATTCTTCGCTGTACAGATACTTTTAGTATGATATAGTCCCTTGTTTGTTTTTATTGTCTGTGCTTTTGTTATCATGTGCATAAAATCACTGCCAAGACCTATGTCATGAAGCATTTCCCTTATATTCTCTTGTAAATATTTTACAGTTTGGGGTTTTAGCATCTAAGTGTTTTCAGTCCATTTTGAGTGGATTTGTATATGAAGTAAGATGAGGCTCCAAGTTCATCCTTTTGTATATTGATATCTAATTTGCCTACATCATTTGTTGAACTCTTTCCCTATTGTATAATATTGATAACCTTACTGAAAATAACTTTACCATATGTATGTGGGTTTCCTTCTGGGCTTACTAATTTGTTTCACTGGTCCATATATCTGTCCGTATGTATTTTGGTTATTGTAGCTTTGTAAGATATTTTAAAATAAAAATGTAATACAGTCAGCTTTGTTATTCTTTATCAAGATTGATTTGGCTATTTGTGGTTTTTTGCAGTTCAATGTGAATTTTAGAATTGTTTTTTCTATTTCTGTAAAATTTTCCAGGAATGAGGTAAAAATGCTCACTCTCATCACTTCTAGTCCATATAGTACTGGAACGCCTAGTCAGAGCAATAGGGCAAGAGAAAGAAATACATAGCATCTAAATCAGAAAGTAAGAAATAAAATTATCCATTTTTGCGGATGACATGCTCATATATATAGAAACCACCCAAATACTGTTAGAACTAATAGATGAATTCAGTGAAGTTGCAGGATACAAAATTATCATACAGAAATCAGTTGCATTTCTTAATCAACAATGAACTATCTGAAAAGGAAATTTGAAAAACAACATCATTTCCAATAATACCAAAAAGAGTAAAATACCTAGGAATAAAATTAACTAAGGAGGTAAAAACTTGTGTACTGAAAGCTACAAAGTATTGATGGATTAAAGTGGAAACAAATAAATTGAAATGCATCCTGTGTTCATGGATTAAAAATTTTAATATTGTTGAAAAGACCATACTACTCAATGCAATCTATAGATTTAATGAAATCCCTATCAAAATCCCAAGGATTGTACACACCGTTAATGGAAGATATTTGCAGAGGAATCATAATGAAACCACAATGAAATGGTTATTAACTTTAACAGGCCTATTGTGTAAGGGAAGGTTTATGAAGAGGTGAATCTTCAGTTGGTTTTGAAGATAGGTGGTGTTAGTATAAACAAAAGCAGAAGTAGAAGGGCATTTAAGAAATCAGAGTATCTTTTCAAAGCTCTCCGAAGATATGCCATCACCAATTCCATTCCAAAGACTTAAAAATTCTAAACAAAGAGAATTCTGTCTCATTGTAATAGGCTTATACGTGGACAATGGATTGGAGAAAATTTATAGCTATATCTTGATAAATTAACCAAAAAAGGTTATTTCTACCTTACCTGAAAATCCCACATGATATTTTTATTTAATATTCAATTTGTAATTGTTCAATACTCTAATTTTATATAGGTAAATTCATATAATAACATGTCTGAAAATTTAGAATGTCAATGTATCTCTTCTCGAAAGAGAATGATGCTTTTGAATTTCACTTGGAACTTTATGTTAAGAATGCCATAAATTAATTCAGATTAAAATAGATATGCTAACATCACTTTTTAATATCCATGATTAGAATAATAGACATATAATATTGTAAAAAGAAAACATTTTAAAAATATATGTTCTAACATCTGAATCCTATGACAAACGATTTAAATTTATGTAGGCACTGTGCAAGTGTCATTTCATCTAATATTTCTTCAAACACTTCAATATTTTTCTCTGCTAGTCTTAAATTTATGTATTTTTGATGGTCTTCACTTTATGATAATGGCCTTACATTTCTTAACAAGCGTATTATAGAAAACTTTCCTTTGAGAAATTCATTTATTTTTCCCACTCTACGGAGCAGAAAGTTAGATCTTGGGCTCAGTGAATGGAGGCATAAGCAATAGTGCCTCACTAAAACAGTGAAGAACTTGTCCATTTACCCATCTATAGTCATTTATTTATTTTCTCACTTAAACAATGTGAGCACTCACTATATGCATGTCACCATGAAACTGAATAACTTAAGGACCTGCACAGGAGGGTGAAAACTTTGAAGCTGATTTTGTCCAGGTGACACTGTCTTTCTCCCTGAGAGTATGGAGTCCTTCTAGCCCATCTTACAGTCTTACTTTTCTTTCATTTCTGTTGACTTTATGCATAATCTTTAAACAATAAATCCCTGCATACAAAACAACCAGTCTTCATTTTTTTTTTGTTTTTTTCCCAATTTATCTTCCCACCTATTCATTATTCTATTTTTACCCTTCTGTTTGCTCTGCTAAGATTGTTGTAATGGTGGAGCAACTACTGTGTACCGTGAACATTCAATACAAGGAGTCCCTAGAGATCTTCATCTTAGATAATATATTTTCTTCATTGACAATCCAAGGCTCTGGAAGCCCTTATATAAAATATTTGTATTGTTTTATTTGTTCACCGACTCCCTGTGAAACTTTGAGACACTCCCTTTACTATCACCCTCTAAGGTTCTGTTTGAGTGTGTGTGTTTGTGTATCTGTGTGTGTATTTATTTATGGCTGATAATATTCACTTATTTTCTAGTTAATATAGACAAACAACTTATTAGACAACTTTACTTTTGAATCAGTTACCTTAACCCCCTCCCCAATCCCTTTTCCTTACTCCCTTATTTGCCATTTTAATCCACATCAAACTCACATTCATTGAACACCTTCTTGTCTTTAAATAATTTTGATCTTTATACATCACATGATCTTCTATTTCATTATAGGCAGACCTTAAATTTCAAGGACACTAATCTAAAATTGATGTACTAGAAATGAGTAAACAGCAAGACCAGCTAGTTAAGAAGCAATTACACTTGAAGTAAGTAAGAGGTAATGTAATGCTGGACTATTGCATTCGTATAGCTTTTAGTGAAGGGATTTTGCAGCGGATAGATTTGAGAGAGAAAGGCACTGAGAATGAACAGAGGGAAGATACAGAAGCTGGGCTGAAGGGGGAAGAAGCTGAAAATTCTGCACAGGATTACCATGCCCAAGGATTCCTTTCTGGCTCCCAACAGCTTCAGGGAAATGGGTTAGTTGAACTAGCAAGGAGCAACCTGCTCCAGCTACAAGTCTCTGGAACCCTGGCAGGAGGAGACCCCTCAACCACCACAGACAGAAAGAGCTGATTAGAGAAGTGGTAGGGGCAGTACTCCTGTAACTGTGGAGCCCAGAGGGTTCATTGAAGGACCGTCTGTAGTGAAGCATGGCCAAGGACACCCATGCCCCTAGGCTCAACTTGCTCCCATAGGAGACTTTAGTTTTAGGGGAACAGTGTGACCTGAACTCTGCAGGTGCTCTTGTCCATTGCACTGGGCCATTCGACCTAAACTCCCCTTGGCCTAATGAACTCTCCTGGGACTCCCTTGCAGTGCAGCCTCGGGTGCTCTGGGGGTCCACATCATAGTTCCTACACTCTAGCTTACCATGCCTGACTGGCAGAGAGCTCCAGCTTAACAGACCCCAGGGACAGGCACCAGTCTGCTTGCTTCGTTCCCCCACTGCAGCTTCCTTCCAGGCCCACAGCCACTGCTCACATCACTTTTGGGGTGGGTGTACCTGCAGATGGATATTGTTTTCCCTGCCTCACCAACGCCATGTAGGTGTGTACCCTGTCCTGCCACTGCTGCTGGAGTGAGTGCATTCCATCCCACCCCCAGCACACATCATAAAGCCATTGTAGTAGGAGCCTCGCCTGGCAAAGAGCCCACCAACCCCACCCCACCAGCGTCCAGCCCGAGCCAGCACTGCTTATGGAGTGAAAACTAGGCATGGAAAACAATGGACCTTCCCCTACACAGAGCAGAGGGCACACACAGACCTGTGCCCGCCAGCGCCCCACCCCCGTGCTAACACAACCACCAGAGTGACCACACACATAGTCACCAGCAGGGGGCTCTAGTCCCCTCCCCCGCCACCCTCTGCCTCAGCTGCAGCTGAGGCGCGTGCATATCCCTGTGCTGCTGCTGCCTTTGGTCTAGGAACCTCCGCACAGTGGATTCCTAACCTCAAAGAGCCAGAGAACAAGATCCCTCCGGTTACTAGTTCCACAGTGTTAGAGCACATAGTCTAGGAGTTGGGAGCTGAGCCTTGGCCCTCTAAAATCTTCCAGAAATAAAGCCAGTTAACTGAACCAACCTTATACCACAACCACAATCAAACCCTCGAGTTCATCAAGCAGAAAAGAAAAAAAAGAATCCTAAGGACACCAACTTCAACGATTGAAGAAACATCAGCCCACAAAGATGAAAAAGAACCAATGCAGGAACACTGACAACTCTAATAGCCAGCATGGCTTATTTCCTCCAAATTACTGTACTAGCTCTCCAGCAAGGGCTCTGAACCAGGCTGAGATGGCTGAAATGACAGAAATAGAATTCAAATCTGGATAGAAATGAAGATCATTAAAATGCAAGAGTATGTTGAAACTCAATCCAAGGAAGCTAAGAATCACAGTAAAATCATACAGGAGCTCACAGAAAAATTAGCTAGTATAGAAAATAACATAACAGACCTGATTAGAGCTGAAAGGCACACAAGAATTTCATAATGCAATCACAGGTATTACAGACAAAGCTGAGTAAAGAGTCTCAGAGCTTGAAGGCTGGTTTTTTAATATGAGACAGTCAGAAAAGAATCAAGAAAAAAAGAACAAAAGGGAAGAAACAAAACCTCTCAGGCATATTGTATTACGTAAAGAAACGAAATTTACAACTCAGTGGTGTCCCTGAAGGAGATGGGAAGAATGGAAGTAACTTGGAATATATATTTCACGATATCATCCATGAAAACTTCCCCAACCTAGCTAGAGAGGCCATCATTCAAATTTAGGAAATGCAGAGAACCACAGTAATATACTTCACAAGATCATCTCAAAGACATATAATTATCAGATTCTCCAAGGACAAAATGAAAGAAAGAAATGTTAAAGGCAGCTAGAGAGAAAGGTTAGGTCACTTACAAAGGGAAGCCTATCAGACTAACAACAGACCTCTCAGCAGAAACCTTACAAGCCAGAATAAATTGGGGGCCAATATTCAACATTTGACGTTATTAAAGAAAAAATTCCAACCAAGAATTTCATATCTGGTTAGACTAAGCTTCATAAGTGAAGGATAAATAAGATCCTTTTCAGACAAGTAAATGCTGAGGGAACTCATTACAAACAGACCCACCATACAAGAGCTCCTGAAGAAAACCCTAAACATGGAAAGAAAAGACCATTACCAGCCACTACAAAAACACACCTAAGGACAAAGATCAGTGACACTATAAAGAAACCATACAAACAAGCTAACATCATGGTGACAGGATCAAATCCACACATATCATACTAACCTTGAATGGAAATGGGCTAAATGCCCCAATTAAAAAGTATAGAGTGGCAATCTGGATAAAGAACCAAGACGCATTGGTATGCTGTCTTCAAAGACACATCTAGCATACAATGACACACGTAGGTTCAAAATATAGGGATGGAGAACACTCGACCAAGCAAGTGGAGAGCAGAAAAAAGCAGGAGATGTAATCCTAATTTCAGACAAAATAGATTTTAAACCAAAAAAAGATCAGAAAAGAGAAAGAAGGGCATGACATATTGGAAAAAGCTTCAATTCAACAAGAAGACGTAACTATCCTAAATATATATGCACCCCACACAGGAGCACCCAGATTCATAAATCAAGTTATTAGAGACCTTCAAAGAGACTTAGACTCCCATGCATTAATAGTGGGAGACCTCCACATTTCACTCATAGTATTGGGCAGATCACTGAGGCAGAAAATTAACAAAGGTATTCAGGAAGTTCATTTCATGTCATTCCCATGAATCTGAAAACAAGCTCATTATTAGTTGTGAATCTTGAAAAGTAGCATGTATATCCTTATGCATTAGTGTAGAAGTTCTTCTACTTAACAAGAATTTATCAAAATAATGTTGAAACTTTTTTCTGAAATCAATGTAAATATTGTTAAATAAAATATAAATGACGAGAACACATTTCATAAGATATTTCCTACATATTTGCAGATACAAGCAGAAGTCGTTCATTATAATCAAAAGAAGTATAAATTGCTGTAATATGAGTAATATTGGTTACTGGTAGACCATCACTATCTGAAATATTTAATATTGTGTACCTGGTCAAAACAGAGTATATTCTACTATAATAATAGAAATCAGTGTTTTCCATAAATCCAGTCAAGGAAACATGCTTTCTGTACAAGTCTAATCAAGGCATATTATTAGAAATCATAACTTAAATGCATTCACATTCAATTTCCTAAATTAAGTGCAGATTAGTATCTTTAAGATTTTGGTTTCATACATGTGCGTTCAAGCAACCCTAGATGAACAAAACCAAACAAAACACAGAATTAAACCTTAAAACTGTTCCTGGATCTTGCCTCCTGGAAAGGAACTATAAATCCTATTTTCCAATATATTTTCTTCCTTTCTGGACTCTAGAATTCTTAATTGATTTAGTGTCTCCTACTAATCTTGCTCTACCGTGTTCCTGGGGTCTGTTACCATGGGCTAAATTGTTATTAATCACCATGTTTAATCTCTACCCAGCTTCACACTGTAAAGGCTACTTGAGAGCATTGTCCTTTTTTTCTAAAGAAATGGTTTGCCACATGAAAGATTAGTGATAGAAACTATGATAAAGGAAAAATGTTAAATGTGTTAATGTTCTGCCGGAACAGTTGACCCTCAAGCAACATGGATTTGAACTGTGCAGGTCCACTCATATGGGTATTTTCTTCTGCCTGTGACACCGCTGAGACCACAAGGCTACCCCTCCTGTTCCTCCTCATTCTCAGCCTAGTCAAGGTGAAGATAACAAGGATGAAGACCTTTATGATGATCCACTCTGCTTAATGAATAGTAAATATATGATTTTTTCTCACAATTTTTTAAAGAACATTTTCTTTTCCCTATTTCTTTTCTCTCTTACTTTATTGTAAGAATACATTATATAATACATGCAAGATATAAAATATGTGTTATTTATGTTATCAGTAAGCCTTCCGATCAAGTAGGCTATTAGCAGTTAAATTTTTGGGGAGTCAAAAGATGTACACAGATTTTCTACTGTGCAAGGGTAAGTGTCCCTAACCCCAGTATTGTGCAAGGATTGACTGTATTATTCCAAAGAGATCTATTTAATTTCTAGCTGAATCAATTTGTAGTCATTACAAAACATTTTACTACACCCCAGGTGACGCCTCCCTTGAGATCATTCACCCTCTTTTCTATTTGCAAAGTTACTATGTATTTACTCAACACACGTTTTCTACCTGTGTCTGATTTATACTCAGCACTAGAACAAAATTGGAAGAGCAGAAATAAAAAATAAGAAGCAATTCGAGCCCTCATGAGGAATATAATGTATATTCATTATATATATCTTATACACACAATAATGAATGTTCACAAAAGTCACAAAATTAACTACCACAACAAATAGAAATTACAGCCTTCATGGTCCATCTTTAATTTTTCAACATTTAGTAATGCATGGGTCCAAAATATACTTTATTTTCTTCTAAGTTCTCCAATAGAGCACAACAGTGGAAATATGATAAGTAGGAACTGACCAAAGTGCTTTGATATCGAGAACACAATAAGAAATCAGAAAGATTTGGATATAATACCATGTAGCAATAAAAGCTAAGTCTTGATAATCTGTCTAATGTTTTAAGGGAAGTCAGATATCACTATTTTTTTAAATAAATGCCACTGACTTTTAGATGTTGGTAACTAATTATTTTTAGTTCTTTTTTAAATTCTATGTTTTTAAAGCACAGATTGTGCCATACTTTGCCAAATCTACAAATGAGGTCTCCTTGGTGGACAGGAGGCCTCTTTGTTAATAACAAAAGTAAATTTTGACAGCCAGATGAAATTTGCTATCCTTCTGGTGTCTATGTGACATGTGAGTCCCATTTCTCATACCAAAAAGGAAAAACATTGCCAAACCTTCTTTGATTTATGCAGAGAATATTTTCTTATATGGAGAATGAGGGCTGATGGGTAAAATCGTCTCAATCTCTTTCATAAACTTCAAAAAAACATATCCGGAGTTTTGGAGCTAAGTCTGCCCTAATTGAAATGGCAAATTTTCTTTAAGAACCAGAACACTTACAATATCTATTCTCATCCATGTCCCCTCAACTATTTCTTTAATTGCTATTTGCAGACACATTCTGCTACTCTTTCACAACTTCTAGACTGTCTGTCTTTCCTGCCCAGAAGGCCTTCTAATCTATCTGAAATATCTAAGATGACAACTTTTGAGACTAGTACCTGCTCTTGTCCGCCCAAATACAGCAGGCATCAATGGGGTTAAAAAGTAAAGCTCTTTTACTATAATTTGTATGCAATTAAAAGCATTTAAAATTAACATTGGGAATAACAGTTTTATTACATTTAGAAATACTTCCTAAACATATTCGGGCAAAAAAATGTCCCTCACTTCCCTAAAGGCCTGAAACGAAGCAAAAGGCATTTTCACAAGGTGTTCACATGCAGAAGGCACGTGGTTTTCGGCATCAGCTGGTGTGTGCACATTCATCAAGAGTCACACTTCCAACAGCACCTGCTATGCTCAGATTTCTACAACAGCAATTAACGGCAGAAATGGTAGAATGGTAAGGACAAGCTTATTGTTACCCTAAAATTATTACATATTGCCATATGTTATTTGTATTTGTTAACTATTTAATCAACATCTTATAGTTTGCCTTTTTAAAGTATAGGTTAAGTTGTTTGTTGAAGTAAGGCACTGATTTTCAGTCTACACTGTGTTAATGATCAATTTTTATATTAATGCATGCTAATAAATGTGCAATGTTGTGAAACTTAAAAAAATACATACGTAAGTGCCAGCACCTAGCACAGTATTGTGTACATAATATATGCTCAGTTAAGTTTTCTAAATTCAATTTTAAGTCTCGGTGATAATCCCTATAAATTTTTCTTTTTCTTGGAAAGATTTGAGGTTTGCCACCTGCTTCCTGTCTTTCCAAGCTGTGATTTTCTGTAGTAGCTATTCAATAAATAATTAGTCTTAGAAAGTTGAGAATTTTTTTTTATGGCTGTTTGTAGTGAAGTAGCATTTAACTCAAATTTGATTTTAAGCTAGCTATTTCGAAAACCACTCCATGAGCTATCATTGTATTACACAGGTAGCAGTCATGTCTTAACTCACCTATTACCTTTTTCTTACATTGTCTAAATAAACATCAGTAACTTGTAGTAAAGTAAATCTTGGAATGAAGGTTTTTTTTTTAACCTAATTTTCTCTGAGGGACACACTATGTGTCTTCTCAGAAGTTAAATAGAGAACTGTCTCATGGGGTATTGTTTTGTTTATCACAGAGTTTAATATTTCTAAGCCCTTCACAGAGAAGCATGTTCATGTTGAGAGACTGATATTCCTTTGGGATTTGCTTAAGTCACTCAATCCCAATATTTTAATATCCCCTTAAGAAAATCACTGTAAGATTCCATCTGTGTTGTGACATTTTTCTCAGTTGCCATCTCACTGGTTCCTGACAGTTCTTCAATACCATTGGGTCACAGAGTTCATTTCATCAAAGAGTCAAGAGTTTTTGCATATCTGTATGTTACCAGTGTTTCACAAATAGTGTTTCATGTTTTAAAAAGTGTTGCTGTTATAGCACATAGCACCTTTTACTCATAGTTTTTCAGTTCTGAAAAATTATTTTCTACCTTTCCACCATTAAAATCCTTGATTACTATATAATTTCTTGTGAAAAAATCGATAAATTCACTATGAGGATAGATTAGATTCTTCCTGGATGGTGAAAACTTTATTTCCTGTGTCTTCACAATAGGGTAGAATCATGGATAATAAATATAAGAATATCTTTACCCCATTTCTCCTCAGTTTTAGTAAGATATTTATCATAGACACAAAGTGTTTTTGTATGAGATATTATTAATATTCATTAAAGTTTAAGCAATCAGTTCATCAATTTTATGCAAGGAGAAACTAAAAATAATTTTCACTTAGACCTTCATTTTACTTTACTGAAAATAGGCCAGAGCAATTGTTTAAAATTTGATTAGGAATTACTTGTGCATGCTTGAATTAAGGATAGTTGATTTTGGCGTGCAAAATTGCAGTTCACTTTGTCTCCTTTCTACTGACTAAATAAAACCAATCACCAACGTTAGAATGATGCAATATTATTAGGAAAAAGCAAAATAATTTTCTAATTAAGTTCAGAGTAATAACTTCCTAATACAAATAAACACATACTTCTGAGCTTAGCTGTGAAAGAAGAATCATCTTGGTGGAAGATGAAGATGACACAGAAGCCTGACACTTGCCAGTGAATAATTCAACAAGAGTTCAGGTGCTGAAAAATCAACCTTTGGTTCAAAAACTGGCTATTTCACTTACATCTGCTTGGTTTTAGGTATATTATTTATATCTAATTATAAATTTTATCACCTATAAAACAAAGATAGCAGTACCTTCTTTATAGGGTTGACTAAGGATTAAGTGAGATTAATTCGTATAATTCATTTAACATAGTACTTCACAAATAGTAGCAATTCAATAAATATTAATTGTTACAGTTAGTCACTCTGGCATCTGTTAATTTTAATTCTCATTGCTCCCACTACAAAGGCTGGCAGGAGTAAACCTTAATAGATAGCATGTGTATAAATTACTTTCCTTGGGTCTTCTTTAGGACAAATGTAGTAGAATAAAACCTTTTAAAACATCTACTGAAGACTAATGTTAGCACCACAGGCATGGACCTAGAGAAGTCTGAAATATCTACTTGCTAGTCACAAATACCTGGCACAAGTTTGCAGGATTTGTCTGGAACATTCCCTCCTATATTTGGCATAGCTGTATGTGGAGGGTATGAATTTAATAAAAACTATCCAAGATCCTCTTAGTCTTTCTTGGCTGTTATTTTCAAACAACAAAGCTATTCTTCTGCTATAACAATTCAAGACATTGATTGAAAATTTTGGGAGGCTTGCCACATTTCAAGAAAAGTTCTTCAATAAAACTTGCGACATAGGCAGGAATTTAAGGAAAACTAAGTAGTCACATCTGTAGTAACCTCAGCTTCTGCTGCAGAACATTAAATGCCATTGTTTTCACAGTCATAAATGCTGCAAAACTAGGTGCTACTGCCACTGCTGCTGCCACCTGCTATGAGAATGGATTTTGCACAGCATCCACCATACTTAATCTGAAGTTTGGGATAGTGAGTTTGATGGTCAGAGTCTAGGAAAGACTAGAAATCTGATTTTTTTTCTTTTAAATTATCATTATAAGATTTGGGGGACTTGTCTCCAAGATTACTCCAGATAATTGGCAAGCTTGCATAGGTTACTTGCTAAGGTCAATCAGGATAATATGTCTTAGTTCAATTTAATAACATGTAACTTAAGGAATTATACATAAGCTTTACTGTAAAGCTGATAACTTATTTGTTGGCATGAGTGATCGTAGGTAATGAAAGAGCATAGGTAATGAGAAAGAAACAACTGGATTTGGCAATACTGAAAAAATTTACAACAGATCATTCTAAGATAGACTAGTTTCCTTTCCCCCAGACTAAATCCTTTTTACTCTTAAGATACAGGATCTCCAAACAATCATCTCTACAAATTTCCCCCTTCCCATCCTACACAGACATGTAAGCTGAGATAGATGCTGTTATTCTTTGCTATTCAGACATATTGTATATATTTCTTATAGTTGCTATTATATTTAAAATTTCTCTTTAAGCTTCTAATCTCATCTTCCCTGTCTAATATACCAGTTTCCACTGGTGGGATCTTAGAAGACAGAGTCACGCCTTAATCCTGCTGCCTTCCCAGTAACCAACATGGCGACTGACTCAAAATAGGTCATTGTTAAATATCTTTTGATTGTTATAGTTTGCAGATGCATGCAAATATTCAAAATACAAGTGGGTACACAGAAAATAAACACATTGAATTATAAATGACAGCATCTTGCAAAGTTCTTGATTTAGCTAATTTTGAAGTATAAACAGCTTCTAGTTGCTTAAGCTGCATGGTAGGAAAAAATATAGAATCCATAGACCACAAAATATTCTAGAAAGGTGGAATCAGTACTGATAATATAAATGGGCAATTTTTTTGTTCTTTCCTAGGGAATATCAAAGAGAGAAAGGAGTCAGAATAACCTCTTTTTAATAATGGCTTCTGTTTATTGTGTATTTACTTTGTAAGCATACTATGCTTGGTATTTACTTACTTCATTTATTTCTTGCAAAAGCCTTCGGAAGAAGGCTTTTATTCTAGATTTAACAAAACTAAAGGAAATTAATAATAATATCAATGTTGAATTATTAATGATAAACAAGATATAACAGATCAGTCCTCTCTGCAATTCCCAGCTGACCATGGAATTTTTTATCTGAAGAATTGCTATTACATCATTTTTAAAAAGAATAATTTAAAATAAAATATCAGATGTCCCGTGAACTACTGATCTGATTGTAAGATTTAAAATCTGTCACTTTTCCATAGAAGAAGTTCATCTACACCCAGGAGCCTCCATCTTTCAGAAATTATTTTAAAGTTTCCAAGTATTTCATCAACATATTGAATGTAAAATATATATATAATGGAAAAAATTAACTACCCAAATAATAAAGAAAAATATAACTTTTAGAACTACAGTGTAAGTCTATACAATGTCCATTCCCATCTGAGTAGCTCTGTGTAAGTACTTATACACAAAATTATATGGATTTTGAGCATCTTCCCACTTTTTTTATTGTTAGTAAATTTTGGTAATATTTAAGAAAAACAAGTCTTAGTAGACAATTACTTTTGATGCTTTACTCATTGGTATTATTTGAGTAATTGTCAGTTTCATTTAACATTATTCAATCATCATTTTTCAATCAGTAGTCATTAATTATTAATTTACAAGTCCTATATAATTTTTTGTTAGATTCATCCAAGCAATGCACAGGTACTAGGCAACCATACTCTGCATTGTCACCCCAATTTATCCAGAAGTCCCCCAGTGTTCCTTCTTTCTAAAAGCTATTTATGTTTCGAGCAACTTCATGCTGAAGGTTGTCAGTGATACTCCTATTTTTAAGTATTTGGGTTCTGTACTGAAAAGAACGCCTATTCCCCTTGGAAAAGTGATTTGGGGGACTGAGCTTACTGTCTTTTTAAAAGTTCCCCTGATTCATCATAGAGGGCCTCCAAATCTCAGAGAGATAGTCCAATCTCAACTCTTTTTATAACCCATTTATCAACCCTTCTTTGGTGAACATAGCAATTCTAGCATAATGGAAGACAGCTGAGGATTGGGTTGACTAATACTGAAGTGGCTCGTTGGCACTCACTGTTCCATTCTGCTAGTCTTGGATGCAGACTTATTTTTCACAATGAATCTCTTGATTAGAAGGCCATCAGCTAATTCCAGTGTTCTTAAAATTTTCTGCCAAATGTCCTTCTACAACAGAGAATAAACACACGACCTATAGTCTAAAACGTCTAAGAATATAACTTTAAGCAGCTTGTCATAATAATTAAATGTCTTCACAGTCACCACCTTTATGTTTAAAACTCATATGAATTTTGTAATGTAATTGGTAACAATGTTTGCGTTTAACATAAAAGTTTATAAAATAGCTGTCTAGTAAAATGCTCCAAGAAGTTGTGTCAGATGTGCTCCCTATTCTCATAGTGTCCAATGCCAGCAACATAACCTCTAATATTCCTGAGGATACCCTTGTTTAAGATAAGCACAGCGCTACAAAAAGAAATCTTCTATGATCTTAGTGTTCCATTTGAGGTCCCTCAAAAACTCATGTTTTTTGTCCTCATCTTTGTCACACATCACTTGCATTGACTCACTGAATAGTTCAGGTCGTAAGGTGGTCAGACGGGCAATGGTAAGTAAGGGTAAACCTTCTGAACGTATTAATTTAAATATTTCTAGCTGTCGTGTCCTCTATAATCTCAGTGGATTTTAAACTTTTATAGAATAAGAAGTTACACCCTTTGTGCATCTCCCCACATCCTTCTCTACCTCCAAAGTTCAAATACAATAAATTTCACAGTATAGATGTTCAATAAATGTTGATTTCCATTTTAAGATCCTGTGAAATTCTTTCAATCGGAACACTTTTAAAATTTTAGCAGGGTGAAATTCTTCATTTTACAAGACAGTTACCTGTAGTACAGGAAATGTATTATCCCCAGATCCTGGAATTGAAATACTAGTAATATTCCCAGATAGTCTGACAATTAGAAATTCCTCTGCACATTCTTAAACATTATTTTAAGGTATTAGTACCACTCCTTGTAGAGGAACAATAAAAGTTCACTTGTACATAAATGTATACATAAACTCAAAAAATTCAACACTGAGAGGAAAGGAGAAAAAAGAAAGAAAAAAAGCAATTGAGTCAATTCCAATTAAAAAAGGACAACAAAGAAAAATAAATAAATACAATTCCAAGTAATAGAAACTATCATTATTCCAAGTCCCTGAAAAGTTGAAGATCCACTTGGGTAATTGGGTAAATTAAAGAAAATTCAGCTAAAATTAAAATGTTGGCATCTTCCTACCTGTGATACATAGATGTCAGAATTACTAATAAATTTTTTAATATTCTCAAGAAAAATATGTAAATGACAAAATAAAAACTTAACTTAGTCAAAATTGTTTGACTCTCATCTTATGATGGTATTTTTGCCCTCCTATTTTATTCTTTTAAGTAAAGATTATTGAACGGCTACTCTTTGTCATACATTGAAATAGGTGATGAGGATTAACTAGGCAAGGACATTATTTGTATTCAGATAAACATTATGATAGTGGTTTGTCCAGGTGAAGATGACATACAAATAAAGGAGAGGTCCTTTCTATGTGAAGTGTGGAGTGAGTAGCAGGTGTAAAAAAGTAAAGAAAAACAAATAGCCTTTCCTGTCATTAAAAAATTCTTCACTAAAGTTGACCATCACTAACTTCATAAATATAGTTCAAAAATCTTTAAGTAATGTTTTTCTCAAAAATTTTGCACCATTTTCTCTTAATGAGGATGTGGCTATAATATAAGAACCATTAGGCTCAATAAGTATTGGCTCCATTTACTGTTGGATGGTGAGCCATGTTTGAGCAAGTCCAATATTGCAAACTAGATGATAAGAGCTTTACAAACAGGAGTGGAGACAACATTTAGTATAGATAGGATCTAAATGATAATTGCATTAATGATTGGAGAGTTACCCAAATGAGACTCCTTGAATAGCCAGGGAAAGAAACATTTGGAGACAGCTGCCTATATTAGGGCAGAGGTGGAAGGTATCTAAAAGGAGCTTGAGAACCCAACTGTACTTCTTTTCATTACAGCCTTTCAGAATAGCTGTTCCTGCTAAAACACTAATACAAACTCTGCAGTGCTTTCTAGATTTGCTGACCTCTATTTCTTTTAACCCTTGCTGAGAAATAAAGGTGAAAGAGAAACAGGGCATTTGGGTCCAAATAAATTTAGAAAGAAAACCAAACTGAAAGGCTCTGAGGGCATGCAATGTAAACACAGACCAAGGAGTAAAAAATGTACAAAGAAAGCCTGTGTAACTCTGGAATTCAATATAACTGGGCTTCCCATTCAATTCAGTTTCTTTTTAAAAAAAGATTTTGGCCGGGCGCGGTGGCTCACGCCTGTAATCCCAGCACTTTGGGAGGCCGAGGCGGGTGGATCATGAGGTCAGGAGATCGAGACCATCCTGGCTAACAAGGTGAAACCCCGTCTCTACTATAAATACAAAAAATTAGCCGGGCGCGGTGGCGGGCGCCTGTAGTCCCAGCTACTCGGGAGGCTGAGGCAGGAGAATGGCGTGAACCCGGGAAGCGGAGCTTGCAGTGAGCCGAGATTGCGCCACTGCAGTCCGCAGTCCGGCCTGGGCGACAGAGCGAGACTCCGTCTCAAAAAATAAAAAAAAATAAAATAAATAAAAAAAATAAAAAAAATAAAATTAAAAAAGAAAGATTTTATATTCATAGGTTTTTAAGGAACAGGTGGTATTTGATTACATGAGTAAGTTCTTTGGTGGTGATTTGTGAGATTTTGGTGCACCCATCTCCTGAACAGTAGGCTCTGAACCCAATGTGTGTGCTTTTTAGTTTGTTATGTTTTTGTTTTTTTGTTTTATTTGTTGTTGTTTTTTTGAGTCAGAGTCTCGCTCTGTCACCCAGGCTGGAGTACAGTGGCACAATCTTGGCTCACTGCAACCTCTGCCTCCCGGGTTCGATCGATTCTCCTGCCTCAGCCTCCCGAGTAGCTGGGACTACAGGTGTGTGCCACTATCCCTGGCTAATTTTTGTATTTTTAGTAGAAATGGGGTTTCACCATGTTAGCCAAGATGGTCTCGATCTCGTGGCCTCATGATCCGCCCACCTCAGCCTCCCAAAGTGCTGGGATTACAGGCCAATGTGTGGTCTTTTATCCCTCACCCCCTTCCCAGCATTTCCCCCTAATTTCCCAAAGTCTGTTGTGTGATTCTTATGCCTTTGCATCCTCAGATTTTAGCTCCCACTTATGAGTGAGAACATACGATGTTTGGTTTTCCATTCCTGAGTTACTTCACTTAGAATAATAGTCTTCAATCCCAGCAAGGTTGCTGTGAATGGCATTAGTTCATTCCTTTTTATGGCTGAGTAGTATTCCATCATATATACATACATATACATATATATACGCATATATACATATACACATATATACGTATATATGTATATATATGTGTATATATATACATATACAAATATACATATACATATACATATATATGTATGTGTGTATATATATGTGGGTGTATATGTATGTGTGTGTGTATATATGTGTGTGTGTATATATATATATGCTTTAAAAACAGGAGTAGAGACAACATTTAGTATAGATAGGATCAAAATGATAATTGCAATAATGGTTGGATATATATATATATATATATATATATATATATATATATATATATCTCACAGTTTATAGACTCATTGATTGATGGGCATTTGGGTTGGTTCCACGTCTTTGCAATTGTGAATTGTGCTGCTATAAACATGTGTGAGCCAGTATTTTATTTTTCGTATAAAAACTTCTTTTCCTCTGGGTAGGTACCCAGTAGTGGGATTGCTGGATCAAATGGTAGTTCCACTTTTAGTTCTTTAAGAAATCTCCACACTGTTTTCCATAGTGGTTGCACTAGTTTACATTCCCACCAGCAGTGTAGAAGTGTTCCGTTTTCACTGCATCCATGCCAACATCTATTATTTTTTGATTTTTTTTATTATAGCCATTCTTGCAGGAATAAGGTGGTATCACATTGTGGTTTTGATTTGCATTTCCCTGATCCTTAGTGATGCTGAGCATTGTTTCACACATTTTTTGGCCATTTGTGTATCTTCTTTTGATAATTGTCTATTCATATCCTTAGCCCACTTTTTGATGGGATTGTTTTTTTCTTGCTAATTTGTTTGAGTTCCTTGTAGATTCTGGATATTAGTCCTGTGTCAGATGCATAGATTGTGAAGATTTTTCTCCCACTCTGTGGGTTTTCTGTTTAATCTGCTGACAGTTCCTTTTGCCATACAAAAGCTTTTTAGTTTAATTAAGTCCCAGGTATTTATTTTTATTTTTATTGCATTTGCTTTTGGGTTCTTGGTCATGAAATCTTATCCTAAGGCACTGTCTAGAAGGGTTTTTCCGATGTTATCTTCTAGAAATTTTACCTTTCTTTCTCTTGTCTGCTCTGACTAGGACTTCCAGTACTATGCTGAATAGAAGTGGTGAGAGTGGGTATCCTTACCTTGTTGTGCTTCTCAGAAGGAAGGCTTTTAACTTTCCCCCATTTAGTATTCTGTTGGCCATGGGTTTGTCATAGATGGCTTTGATTACATTGAGATATGTCCCTTGTATGCCAATTTTGCTGAGAGTTTTAATTATAAAGAGATGTTGGGTTTTATCAAATGATTTTTCTGCATCTATTGAGATGATCATGTGATTTTTGTTTTTAATTCTGTTTATTGTGGTATATCACCCTTATTGACTTGCATATGTTAAACCATCTCTGCATCCCTGGCATGAAACCCACTTGATCATGGTGGATTATCTTTTTGATATGTTGTTGGATTTGGTTAGCTAGTATTTTGTTGAAAATTTTTGCATATATGTTCATCAGCGATATTGGTCTGTAGTTTTCTTTTATTGTTATATCCTTTTCTGGTTTTGGTGTTAGGGTTATACACATACTGGCTTCACAGAATGATTTAGGGAGGTTTCCCTCTTTATCTTGTGGAATAGTGTCGATAGGACTGGTACCAAGTCTTCTTTGAATATCTGGTAGAATTCAGCTGTGAATCTGTCTGGTCTAAAATTTTTTTTTGTTAGTTATTTTTTTATTACCATTTCAATCTTACTACTTGTTATTGGTCTGTTCAGGGTATCTAATTCTTCCTCATTTAAGCTAGCAGGTTTGTATCTTTCCAGAAATTTATCCATCTCCTCCAGGATTTTTAGTTTATGCATGTAAAGTTGTTCAGAACCTCTTTAAAGCATAAATTTCACATGACCTATAAAACAAAATACAATAAAAAACAAGGTATACAGGCAACAAATAGCATAGGAAATGGTCTAAATGTTCCACTTAAAAGACACAGAAATGCAGAATAAATAAGAATTTACCAACCATCTGCTGCCTTCAAGAGACCCACATATCACGTAAGGACTCACATAAACTTAAAGGGATGGAAAAAGGCATTCCATGCAAATGGACAGACAAAACAACTTTTAAAGCAACAGCAGTTAAAAAAGACAAAGAGGGACATTATATAATAAAAGGCCTTGTCCAAAAAGAAAATACCACAATCCTAAGTATATATGCACCTAACACTGAAGCTCCCAAATTTATAAAACAATTACTAATAGACCTAAAAAATGAGATAGACAGCAACACAGTAATAATGGGGGACTTCAATACTCCACTGACAGCACAAGACAGGTCATCAAGACAGAAAGTCAACAAAGAAACAATGGATTTAAATTATGCCCTGGAACAAATGGACTTAACAGATACTTAGAGAACATTCTACCCAACAATCATAGAATATACATTCTATTCATCAGCACATGGACCCATGGACCTTTCTCCAAGATAGACCATATGATAGGCCACAAAACAAAACTCAATAAATTTATGAAAATTGAAATTATATCAAGTACTCTCTCAGACCACAGTGGAATAAAACTCAAAATCAATTCTCAAAGGAATCCTCAAAACCTTCCAAACCATACAAATACATAGAAATTAAATAAGCTGCTATTGAATGATCATTGGGTCAACAATGAAATCAAGATGGAAATTAGAAAAATTATTCAAACTGAACACTAATAGTGACACAATCTATCAAAACCTGTGGGCTACAGCAAAGGTACTGCTAAGAGGAAAGTTCATAGCCCTAAATGCTTACATCAAAGTTTGAAAGATCACAAATAGAAAATTTCAGGTCACATTTCAAGGAACTAGTAAAATAACAGAAATCAACCCCAAACCCAATACTTTCTATTATTTATTATATTCTAATAACTGGATAAGGAGAAAGCTTAGTGTCATCTCATTTATTATTCTAAGGCTACTTCTTTGAAATTTTTTCAACTATTAAATGTTTCAGGGAGAGATTTCAGATGGCATTAAAATACTTCAGGAAACCTAATTTCAAATTCATTCTTAGCTTAGTGATTTATCTGATAACCCGATTCTTAAATAACACTGAAGGAAACAACAATCAACAACAACAAAACTCACACAGAGATCGTTCTGAGGATTGGATAAAAGATTATCATCTCCCAAACTCTTGCTTTTGAAATTGTACATGTTTTTGAAGGAAATAATATTGTTCTATGTGGTGGAACTGCTTCTCCAAACATCATGCTTCAACGCTGTTATTTAAGAATAACACTATACATTTGGCATGTCTTCTAACAACTGCACTCTTCTTGAAAGATAACAAGTAATTTTATCTTATTTTCTCACAGTGAAAGTCTATGGTACAGGAATGACCATGATTCCCTCTGACAAAATTTATTTTGAGAAAATAGTGTTATGCACAGAACTGCCAAGCTTAGGCATTGTTTTTGAAAACTCACTGAAATCCAGACACAAGATTGTGTTTAAGAGAACCTTTTAATTTAGATTATGGTGATTTAATATTAATATTTTCATCTCTAAAGACTCACTTGAAAACATTTCAAAAATTAAACAAGCTTAATGTCATAGTTAAAAATAAGTTTATCATTTGTATACAACCTTGGAGAAGGCTTCTTATATTAGGAGCTACCTAAAATAAAGAGCTATCACCTCATATTTGTTATAAACAATACTTGTTTTATTATTATTATTATTATACTTTAAGTTTTAGGGTATATGTGCGCAACGTATATCTCCTAATGCTTTCTCTCCCCCTCCCCCCACCCCACAACAGTCCCCGGTGTGTGGTGTTCCCCTTCCTGTGTCCATGTGTTCTCATTGTTCATTTCCCACCTGTGAGTGAGAACATGTGGTGTTTGGTTTTTTGTCCTTGTGATAGTTTGCTGAGAATGATGGTTTCCAGCTTCATCCATGTCCCTACAAAGGACATGAAATCATCATTTCTTATGGCTGCATCCTTGTTTAAAAAATGGCATTTTTGTATTTGAAAGTTTTTATGAAAATAAATCCATTAAAAATCTAATATAAAAGAGTATTTTGTAATCACAGAGGATGTTTTATAGTCTATAATATTGTGAAGTCTTATCATTGATTACCTACCAAGTATATTACATTTAGACAATCCAGAAAGATACTAAGGTAGTAATGAAAAACCAATAGTGTTATAAGGATTATTTCAGCAACAATATTGAAATGCTGAGCTAATTTAGAAGAAAAGTGTGCCGTCCTTTACCCTAGAATTTCAGCATGTATTTGTTAGTAGTTTGTTGTTGTTGGACTTTATCTGTAGATTAATGTAATTTAATTTAACAAGTGCTTTTTAATGTGTACCAAAAATTGTGCTAGTCATGAAGAATACAAATAGAAAGCAGAAAATATTATGTGCTTTGTGCCTTTGAAAATCTAAGCATGAGTGTCATGATTTATTTATCGTAGAAGACACCTTCTGTCCCATGTTCCGTAACCACTAAGCCTTCCTGTGATTTCAGCACAGCAGCCGTGGACAGTTCCACATTTACTGACAGCCTCTCCCAGAGGCTGCTCTATGTATTTCTGCCCATGACTTTCTTCAAATCCATAGGAATTTTATTGTTCTATAAATTCAAGTAAGTTAAATTCCATGGAGAAGGGAACATGTGCAATTACTTCCCTTTCTCCAGCTCTGCTTTTGGGGAAACCCAAACTAAGACATTGAATGAATAAAATTTATTTCAACAAGGATAAACAGAGTGCCTACTAGGAGCCCAGCACTGTGAATATCTAATGTATGTGCCAGATATTAAACACAATATCAAACATATGTACAAGATATTATTACAAATGGAGAAAAGTACTACTCGTTTTACTTACATCACCTCTAAAACCCACAATAATCTTGCAAGATAAATTTTACAAATGAAGAATAGAATGTTCAGGACATCAACCAACTTGCCTATGCTTATACAACTAACACATTACATTTCTGAAATTTGAAGCCCATTTTTTAACTCAAATGCTGTTTTTTATTTTAATAAACTATCTCAACTTACTTATAAATGAATAAGATGCCTAATGGACATTATCCTCACGGAGTTTATAGACTAATAATAGAGATCAACAAGTAGCATATAACTGAAATTCAACATAAAACTGTATACTTACGTAAAGATAAGAAGAGACTGACTCTAGTCAATTTACCAATATTTTCTCCAATATGTGTGTGTGTGTGATTATTTTTGCTCTTTGGTCATAACCTTTCATATTAGCCTCTGTCCCTGAAAAATTTGACTAGATATCCCTGCTCTGAGATCATAGAAACTTATAAAAACTATTAACATACACAATATAAGCAATTACTCTCATGTTGTATGCTCTTGAGATTGTCTTCCAGACCTCAACTTCAGGATCTCTTCTCCAGTTTGATACCTTTGTCACTTTAAATTTGCTTACTTCTGGACTTCACTTTTGATGTCTAGGTTTCAAGATTCTGCTTAATTTTTGACTTTGCTAAATCAGTAAGTTTTCTCTCACATACAGAAGGACACAAACAAACACACTTTTGATTCCTTCATCATGAAACATCTCTGCGATATTCTAACAAACACATTTTTCCCATATGCCAAAAATCTCTAACATGTGTGTGTAAAACTTATGACAATAAATTACCAGTAAGTAATTTATATCACTGATTGCTAGCAGTTAATTTCTATCACTGTATTCTACATAGATGTACCTTCTGTTAAAGAGAAACTTCTATTGAGCAAGAGAAGTAAAGGGGGTATCATTATTTTCACTAAATATTCTCACCCATGCATTCTCAATAAAATAGAACACTTTCATCAGTAGCGTAGAGGAAATTCTCTCTTTCATCTTCTCTGTTAGTTGTGTAAGGGAAGTATTAATATATTCCACAGTCAAATGAACCTTGGAGATAGTTAATTTACAAAGCAAAATGCTCCATCATTATCAATGTGGTTTAAGGTTATAAATTCATCCTTATTTCATTCATTAACCATGAAATTACTTTGCTTACATATGGCTAATCATAAAAATGCAAAGTGAATATCGTCAAATTTACTTTCGTTCTCCGATTTTCCTTTCTTCCTTTCTCCTTTCCCTTCTCCATGTCTCTCTCTTGTTTTCTCTCTCAGAGATAATTCAATAGATTTGCAGCCTGTTATCAGGAAAGAAGAAAGCAGTATCTATTTATGTCACAAAGTTATTTTGTCTGCTGTCTCCAATGCAGTCATTACTCGTTATTCTGGAACACTTTATTTAAAGCACAAGGAGAAAATGACTGCCAAATAATCTTGTATTAAAATGTCATTATCTGACACACCCTAAAACACAAGTCTTAGTCTATATCAAATTTTATTAATGCTATAACAATTACACGAACTTTTAGCAGGACTTCTGATGAATACTTTTTCATATTATGCAGGACAAAAATTTGCAAGGTGACAAAAGGGATTATAATATTAAACATAAGGGTGAACGTGAATACAAAGTAACTCGGAAGCAAGTAAAATTAGAGTGTATCATCCCTCTCTCTGAAACATCTGCTTGGGATCTCACAGTTGAAAGCTTCTCTGAAATAGTAATTCATCATGGAAAAAGTAGACTCCTGTCACAAAAGCTTAGCACTGTTTAGAATGTACTGGAGATTAGACATTTCTAATAGAAATCCCAAGGTTTACTTTCTTCTCTGAAGAACAACATTCAAGTGGATAGCCAAGATAATATTAACTCTATCTTTGTTGACCTGATAAAGCTAACAAGGCCGTTATTGGGCATGTTGGACTTATGATGTGAACAATGAAAAAACATGAAATATGGTTAATGATCTTCTAAACAGGTCTTGATTAAACTCTAAATAAGGCATGTTTGGACAATGAATCAAAATCCTCTGTAGAATCTTAAATTACCTGCCATGTTTACTGTAATATAGTAGCACGCCATTTAATAAGATTCACTTGCAGTTACATGGGAGTGGTAATTTTGTCTTTAATTGATAAATTTATTTAATAGTCCTTGATGACTACATTTAGGAGAAAATTACCCAATAGGTTAGAAGATCCATATCTCATGAACACTTCATTCCAGCAAAGCAGAGGACCTCTCTTTCTCTAAGCTGTGTAACAGCTCACTTACTCAAATCATTTAATTTACATTAAAAAAGGGAATTGCTATGGCATATATCTAAAAGAAATCATGGCAGAAATTCTTTTAGAGTGAGTCTTTTCTCTGGAGAAATTCATTGAGTTGCCACAATATAATTGTGTGATTTCTTGATTAAAAAAAAAAATCTGTCATTATGAAACAAAAAATTATAGATTTTATTTCAAAATGATTGAAGCCTCTGAAAACACTTTATTTACAGAAATTTTGATGCCAAAATCTATACAAACTGAATAAATTAGGAATTGGGAAATAAATAAGGTTGGTTACATTTAAAACAAAAACCTGAATCAAGTATGAACAATGGTTAACCAGCCTTTCAACAAAATGGAGAAGGATGAGAGAAAAATTTGGATACAAACTTAAAACAGCTTCATGTCCAAGTCAAATGTGTGAGAATCTCTCTAGAAAACATTAGAAAGGATAGCTATCTTGGGACTAACAAGAGGCACTTTAACGATAACCAGTTCAGTATCAGTAGATAAAATTTTCGGTGAAACGTTCATGAAGTGGCAGACCACCTAACTTAAATGGAACTTCTGAAAACACAAAACTTGTGCTGTCTTTGTCAGCTGAAGCAAGTAGTGTGCATTTTTTTATTGTTCTATTCGAAGCATATTCAACTATAACCATGAAATTTACTGTGGATTTCAATATGCTATTTTAAATCATCTTGTTTATGTCGTTTCAAACTTGTCCTTCTTTTAAAATTGTCCCAGGTGGGAAACGATTTGTACCACTGAAGCCAAGATATACTCGTGATATCTGTGCTGAGAGATTTTTGTCATCGTTTCCTGAAAATCACTCAATGGGCAAAAGTTGTTCTTAAGGGAAGGTCATGCAGAACTTCTTCAAGGATTGAGTTTCTTCTTGTGAATATGAAATAAGTGCCTCTTTCCCTATTTTATTTAGGTACGCAGAGGCTATTTCTCCCTGATGACCTGACACAGACCCAGCCAACACCATCTATAATGAAAATCAATGGCACCAAGTCACTAAACAATTATTCCGTCTTCTTTAAAAATGCACAAGTCTTCAAAAAACAAGGATTCAGAGACTGATTAATTTGCCATTTGTCTAGAAGATTGCACTAGCTGCATTATTTAAGAAGTGCCTTGTCTCTGTGCCCTCAAAAGCTGAACCAAGATCAAAGATATGAGAATCACCAGTTTCCATGAAGGAAATTTGGTGAAAGTATGAAAGGCAGCTGGAAGTTGTGCTATGGGTTTGCAGCACTTAGAATCTTTCAAACATGTAAGACCATGAATGTTTGCAGCTTTTCCACATATGTAAAATAGAAAAGAAATCATGGCTCAAAAATGACTGTATATTTGTTTACTCATAGAAATATTCATGGGAATATATATTTTTCATGCATATTTTCTAAGAGAAGGAAAACCAATCCAACACATCCAACTGAACCTACCATACTCTAATCTTGATTCTGTTTTCTTCTTCCTCCCTTCCTTTGCAATTTATCTGTAAGTGTTGATTCTATCATAAGAAAATGATTATCTCTTTCGTCCTTATTTTATCCTCTTTATAACATTTCTCAACATAAGCTCCCACTCTCAGCATTTCTACTCCAGAACACACAGTAGAAAAATTCACCAAGACATTATATTGTATGTATATTCTTTCCCCTCCTCCCACTGGCACCATTCAGAGAGTGTAGCCAAGTATTTTTCAACTGTAAACTCATTAATTTAAATGTTTAACTCTTACGTGTTTTGTGATTAGGTTATTTTTTCAAAGCACAGAGAAGAAACTGCTAGAAGCTATGTTTTCTTTTCTTTATAAAATCTTCCAATTACTAAAATTATTTTATTAGGAGTGCCTTTATTGACAACAGAAAACGGTAGAAAGAAATTTCTCTGAGACTGAAGAAATGATATAGGAATTGAGAGACAGCAGAGCCCACATGTTTCCCTGGACAGTTCCCCAGGAAGTGGGAAAAGGTGGCCTCAAGCAGAAAATGAACGTACCCCAGGAAGTGTCAGTGTGGCTGCATCTATGAAAGGCAGACCTCAGGGAGATGACTGTGCACATCACTTCATAGATGACTTCAGTGGAGAGGTCAATCACTTCAATATGCTTTCTTTGGTTTTCTGAATATTACCCTGAGTTATATAGCATTATATACTTTGTTTATATTTGTTAATATGCCATTTAACTGTTCTTGCATGCTGCTTCTCACTCAGCAGGTGAAACTAATTTCTCAATATATATCTGCTCAGTGAATGATAAAGTTAGGAATAAGTAATGGTTGATGCCTAGCCTGAGATGAAGTAGTATCCTCAATTTTATTTAGGATAAGCTTATGTGAAGAGAGAATAAAGATGATATCCCAACAGCCTTCTTCTTCCACACCCATGACTAAGATAAGTAGTTTTGAAGATAATCAACAGATAGTCTTTAAGAGGATGGGGAGTGAAAACTTTTGAATGTTAGAAACTGGGGTAAATTGATTGTTGATGGCCTGAGAGTTTTCTAAATGTGTGCATTGTTGTACCATACAATGTTGAAAAGGGAATCATTCACTTCTCTGACACTTGTGTACACAGTATAATTTAAACACACATTACTTGTGTTATTCTTAAGTCAACACATTGTAACAGATGATGCCAAACAGATCTGATTGACTTTAATTAGCAGATGAGCACACCAAAGTTCAGAGAAGTGAGGTGACTAACTTAAGCTACATGGCCCCTAAGTGGCAGAGCCTGACTTAAACTCATCTTTCGTATCTTCAACGCCACTTGTATTACCTTATGCCACCTCTTAATTCTAAAAAATACATAATGAAAAAAGACAATCCACATGTCTGGTTTATTTTTTGTCACTTATTTATTCAATAAGCTATCAGAAGGAGTGTAAGTTCAATATGATAAACGGAAGGAGAGGGGAAAACAAGTCTCCTCTACCTAAGGTCTGTGAGTGTGTATTGTAAACTCAACGTTACTATCACTACCTCCTAGAAGAAAAAAACAAGAATTGCATATTCAGACTGTACTTCCACATATGGTTCCAGGTTAGAATTTGCCAATAAAGTACCCTCATGTGAGATTTAGAAGGCTATAAAATAGGGGAGTCCATTATTCCCCGATGGAGTAAGGCAGAGGTATGGGCATATGGCAGACTTTAAGTTCACAGCAGCTTCCTGGAACATTACCATCAATCACTCACTTTAGCTGCCCAGGCAATAGCTCCTGGAGAATCACATGTTTAGTCATTGCATACTAAAATAGTCTTTGGTGGTTTATAATATTCAAAGTAGCTTCTGTGTGAGTTGCCTGAATATTTCCAATGACGTTCTTGAATTTCCAGCTACATAGGAGCACATTCTGGAGAGACCCACATTGCTTCTGGAGATTGAGATTTTTGGCACAGACTTGCCTGTTCTATGTTCCCACAGAACTTCCTGTAGTTGTTTAACTTTAATTTCTTGTGTTAGAATCTTTCATTAGTGAGAAATATATAAGGGCTTATCTATTTCGCAAGTCATTCTTAGGAACTAACTCTGCCTGTTACAGAGGACATCATTAGAAATGCTAACGTAATACGGATTGTGTCTGTGTGCCCTTGTAATGATGATTTTATGTGGTTTAATAAGTGTACTCATGCAATCAAAATAATCATCTGGCCAAAAAAAAGTGCTTTCAGAAGTCACAATTGCTGCTAGGACTATCAAATAGGTATACTATTGGTCGAATTTTTTTCCCCAAAGGACAAGGTAGACATGCTATTTAATATAAAGTAAAATGGTAATAGGTAAATCTTTCTCTGAATCAAATGACTCAAAGTTATCATACCTTAAATTACCATCAAAATAATTCATGAAATTCTAGTATATTTATGATTATGTGTTGGATTCTATACACATACTTCTAAAAGACAGTCCTTGACTTTATTAAATCTTGTGTTCTATAAACTAGTTTTTGGCTCTATCATTAGTATTTTATATACTTCTAGAGCTAAAAAAAAGCTTATTTTCTCTTAAATGAGTATAAAGTAATATTTTGGGCATGCAGTATGACTCAGTGTGATTGTAGTATAGAGGCCAACATTACTTTGAATGCCATTTGTTTATTTTAAACTAGAAAAAAAACACAAGAACTGTTAATAGTTAGGTCTGATAATATCTTTTGACTATGTAAGAGAATACTCATTTTAAAGATGCAAACTGAAGTAGTTACAGGCATGGCACAGGATATTCTCTTTTCAATGCTTCATCAAAGAAAAAATAATAAATGGAAAAAAGTTACTATTAATTAAACATGGCAAATTCTTAATTTTAAAATCTGGCTTGTAGGTTATAGGAGCGAGGATTCTTTGGCTTACTCTTTACTTTTTGGTATGTTTCAAATCTTCATAATAAAATGCAAATAAACACGGAAATATAAAGCCATAAATATGTTTTTTTTACTTTTATACCAACACAAAATTAGTTTATTATAAGATATGAAAAAATAACAGATCAGCAAAAATACTTATGAGAATAAAATAATTGGGCTTTAATTGAGTAAAAACCAATAGTAAACAAAAAAATTAAATGAAGTGTCAATTTCCTTCCTCTCTTGCTACATATATAAAATAACATATTTGTGTATCTATAATATACATTATATATGTACATATTTGTACATGTAATATACATGTATATATGTACATATATTATAATAATATATGTGTGTGTATATACAACACACACACATATATAGGTAGAGAGTGTGTGTAAATATATGTATATACACACACACACACAAATACATACATACATTTATACATATATGTATGTATTGAGTGAAAGAAATACCAGTGAACTATGTTTACATGGTCTGACCATTGCATACTGAATTTCTGAATGAATGAATACATTGCATTTCTTTTTTGTTTGTGTTTTGTTTGTTTGTTTTCAGACAGAGTTTCGCTCTTGTTGCCCAAGCCAGAGTGCAATGGCGCGATCTCGGCGCACTCAAACTCCGCCTCCCAGATACAAGTGATTCTCCTGTCTCAGCCTCCCTCCCAAGTAGCTTGAATTACCGGCATGCGCTGCCATGCGTGGCTATTTTTTTTTTTTTTTTTAATTTAGTAGAGACGGAGTTTCACCATGTTAGTCAGGCCGGACGCAAACTCCAGACCTCAGGTGACCCACTCGCCTCGGCCTCCCAAAGTGCTGGGATTACAGGTGTGTGCCACTGCACCTGGCCAATACATTGCGTTTCTGAATCAATTTTCAATATATGTAAAATAAACCTTTCAATATATGTACAATATATGTAAATAAAGCTTTTGATATATGCAAAATATATGTTCAATATATGTAAAATAAACCTTTCAATACATGTAAAATACACTTTTTTCACTATACTAGTATTTCCAAAACTATGTTTCTTGGATATCTAGAATTCTGAATTGCTTCAGGGGTCTCTGTACATTTAATGAGGGGAAGCTAACCGAGTGGGCATACTGGCCCCTTGGTTCGCTTCAACCAAAGGACTACTCTGATGGTTCTTTTATATATTGTAAATTCTGTTGCCTAAAGTTTTAACACTACTGAATAACATAATCTCAAATGTTTTTCTCAAATATCAAGTTCAGTGGGGTGTTTAATATTCCTAAGGTCAAGAAGAGAAAGAAAGCTATTCATATCTTTAATGAAAATGTACTTGCAATCATAATATTAATAATGACAGATGCACTGCCAACAACTCCTGTTACCATTCACTGATAATCTGCTGTATGCCATGCATTTTAAACATGTTTAATCCTGCCTATAGTCTCAAAAGCAAGGATCCTTATCTCCGTTTCCACGATGAGAAAGTGGAGGCTCACAGAAGTTAAACCCTTTGCCCAAGGCCAAGAAGTTATAAAATGGTACAGGTATAGCAGGGCTAGCTACAAAGCTCACACATTTGCTAACACACTACACAGTCTTCCGAATTTTATGTATAATAAGGAGAACTAATGAACTAAAGAATTTCTGAAGCCTTTGAAAGAAGTAAAAGGACTTGCCTAAAATGCAACATAGTATCAAGTGAAGTCTGAGATTCAAGCTCACATGCTCTGACTAAACCGATCCCACTTGTAACTTGCGCCATTTTGCCACAGTTGAGAGTGAGGGGTCCTTCAAAACCACGATGATAGATATGGGGTGCCTTGGAGTTTGTAGGGGCCATCAATAAACCTGGCTCATTTCCATATTTAATGAGCCATTAAATATGTTATTAAAGGTTAATTATGCCATTTTTAATAGAACGTATTTCTTGAACAAACAACATCCATGGAAGAATATATTTCCAAAGGCCTTATCTTTTACTAACTATCTAATAATTTTAAAAAAGTTTTGTTGATAATTCAATAATCTCTGACAGAGCATGTTTAAGAGATGTTTAACAAGAGAATTACGATCAATTATAAATAATCAAATAATCGTGTTTGTAGATCCTCTAAAAATCCAGGTTTCTACTTTGTAATTGTATTATACGTTATTACCCTGGCACTGAAAAGAATACATGTTTTTACTTGCCACTTTCCAACATTTCTCAGTTAATGGTGCTGTACCTCTCATAACTCAACCCAGCTTCTCTCTAGCTTTGACTGTGAAAAAATACACTATCCTAGTTTGTGGCCCAATATAGGCTAGAATTTGAATTTTCACCTCCCAACTTTGTCATCAGCTACAATATGTTTTCCATTTTTAAAAAATCTTCTATCATTTAATTGCCCTATTCTTTATATTTTTATCCTGTTATACTTTTCTTCTGAAAGCAGATACAGTTCTTTGATCTTAAATAAGATTAGGTCTAAATAATGAACAATGATAAACCAAATAAGCTACAGAAATGGTAAATTTCTGTTGATGTACTTATACTTCTTTTTCAATTCCTTTTTAAAATGAAGCCAGAGTATGCAAGGCATATACCATTAAACATTTAATGAAAGAAACCAAACAAACTTAACTGGAATGGAGAAACTTTAATGGAGAAACCTGACCCTAGTGACCATGAGCTAACCTTGATTTTCTAGAGAAATGGTTACCCAGAACAGAAGATATACAAGATTTTCATGTAAACAGTAGCATTTAGACACCAGAAAAGTGGTTTCTTACAATTTGTCATGTCTATATTAACATCCTAGGTGTCAAAAATAAACTTATAACTATTTTTAGAAGCTAATAGGATTACTGTAAGTTTATTTTAATTCCACTGATATGTTGGTAAAGCCAAAAATAATCTACTTATCCAACAGGATGAGAGTCAGACTGCTGCTTTCAGCACTTGGTATCTGTGTCCTCTGCTTGATCATATGCACTAGCAGATGCTCCATTGCCACTCAGATGGAAGTCACCTAACATCTTGTAAATCTTACATCACTGCAACTGACATCTCATAAATGCAGAACTGTCATTCTGTGCCAATAACAGGATTGCTACTAAAATTAATAAATATATTGGTAGTGATAAGTGTAACAACAAATATTTTTCACTTTTAGAGAAAATGCTACCTCTATATCATAACAATATTACCGACTATACAGAATGCTCATATGGCACAAAAACTACACATAAAGTCTCCACAAATATTAGTATTTTAAAATGAAAGTATTGGAACATCTAGAACACTTCTGCTAATCTCTAGCACAAAAATTAAACAATAGTAAAATTTCTGATGGTTTTAGGTAAATAATCGGTTTCCTTAAAAATAAAATTATGGTCATATTACTGATAAGATGTTTCTGATATATTTCCATATAAATGTATTGTATGCTTCTGTGTCAATGAAAAATACAATTCAATCCCTAAAATAGATAAATCATATAAAATGAAGTGGAATATAGCATTTATTAATTGATACATGATTTATAAGTCTATTAGTTATACTTACATGTTATCACTACATAATTTCATACTATTAAATTTCTTTATGGACAAATTTAACTCATTCACACTTAGTTTCTTAGTTTTTAGATAATATTCCTTCCTGATTGTGTTAATCATGTTTTTATTTTCTATACTTTATGATGCTTTGACATCTTGGGGCCTTGTGGACCCAGGAAGGGACTGCTCCTCTCAAGGTTAGCTAATTCTCAGAGACAGCAAAACCCTTGCCTGTGAGGCTACTTTTAATAGGCAGACCAACAAATCCCTATTCCATACTGCCATCCACCTGCTTTTATCAGGCTCTTGCGGTCTGAATTACCTTGCAGTGCCAGGTTCCAGAAAAATAGGGACCACCTTTATGGCCCAGTCCCTACTGAAATTATTTACACGAATTGTAAACTGTTCATCTTGCCTACCCATTCCTTCCCACCAAACTGCTCATCTTGCCTGACCCGTTCCTTCCCACCAAAACCTCAATAAAGGAACTGGCCTTGCTTTCCCCTCATTCCTTGTGCCTTTGGACTGTTCCTGGTGCTCCCACATATGGCCCTGAGTGGTGTAGTGTTCCCCTTCTTCTTGGGAACTGTGCTTAACAAGCTATCTTTTAACTGGCAATAATCCCTTTATTAGTGACCTCACCGCGCATACCTGAATGAAAAACAGAATCTCAGTACATTTTAAAATCATAATCAAACCCACTTTTTTTCAATAGACCCTAAGTCCATTTCAGTTCCATGAATTAAAAAGTTTGATATAACTGGTATGAAGTTTGTGTCTTTGTAGAACAGAGTTGATAGAAACAATGCAGAAGACAAAAATTTCTTGAATGGAAAATAGTTATGTTGCAATCTTGGTTCTGAAGCACATTTGGTAATTAAATATTCAGCAATAGGTTTAACCATATAAATCTTCTCTTCTGAAAAATGATGACTTATACTAGAAAGAATAGTTTTTACTTTATAAATTGTCCAGCACACATTAAGTGCTCAAAAATGTGTATTTTTGTTCACAAAGTAATTGAGTAAAAATTTCAAATTGGGAAGAAAGAGTTAATTTAAATGTTCCTACATTTTTAATTACAATATTTATGTATGTTTAATTTATCATAAAACAATACAGACTTTTATAAAGAAAAAGTAAATGAACACCCAGTCCACATACACAAACCTCAGTTCATCTTGCACTAATGTTACTACCTGGCAACAAATTTTTCAACACCTTTTTTAAAGGAAGAGTTTAAAAGCTTAAATTTAAAAACCACAAAGTGTTGATCAGGGAAGGCTTCTCTTGATGGAGGAATTTCAGTTGATTAATATTAAAAGTGATAGAATTATTTTATCAATTTGCAATTCCCATCATTACTTCAGGCTCAGTTGGTGAGTATATTAAAAAACCACTAGATTAAAATGTATTTTTTTCAGGGGGAAATTACTCCCACAATGCCAAGGTATCACCCGAGAGATGATTTGTACTATTTGTAAGAAACAATCAGATATCTACAATGAGGAGTTCTACAGATTATCACTTTAAACAAGTGGTCCAAATTAACATTACTAATATTATGACAAGCTCATATATGCTCCCGTCATATGATCCAATTAAGAAGTACCTCTTATGAAGTAGTCTAAAAAATTAATTTAAATATAAGGAAGCCTTTAGAGTTAATTTTCTCTTCATAGAAAATAAGGCTGATAGGGTTACTTAGTACATAACCAGCAATCAGACAATCCAGAACATGGAATATTCTATGACACTTTGGATTCTTCAACAAGTCATATCCTGAAGAAGATTTTTTTATAAAAAGGAATGGTATATTTTTGATGAAAGGAGATTAAGAGAAACTTTTTAAAAAATGTAACATGTCGGGAACTGCTATGGTCCAAATTCATCCCCCCAGATTCATGTATTGGAAGCTTAATCTCCAGTGCATCCTTATTGGGAGGTGGAACCTTTTGGGAGGTGTTTAGAGCATGAGCGGCCCACCCTCATGAATAGATCAATGCCATTATAAAAAGGGCTTGCAGGAGTGAATTCTCTCCCTTCTACTATTCTACCATGGGAGGAAACAGCATTAGTCTTCACTGCCTCTCCCCACTTTTTTCACTTCTGAATATTATCTGATTGGACACCAGATGTCTGTGCCTTGATCTTTGACTTCCCACCCTTCAGAATATGAGAAATTAATTTTCGCCTTTATAAGTTACCCAGTCTCAGGTATTTTGTTATAGCAGCGCAACAGACTAAGACAGAAACTTTGCGCACTTTCTGCTCAATTTCACTGTGAACTTGAAACTGCTCTAAAAAGTGGGTGAAATATGTATATATTATATACATATTTCATGTATATGAGATTTTACTGAAATCTGGTTTGGAAAACAAATCTAAAGCAATTGAAAAAAGTTTAATATTGAATAAATATTCAGTTATATAATTGTTAATTTTCTTAGTTGTGATAAGTATATAATTGTTAATGTTCTTAGTTGTGATAAGTATATATCCTATATAGGATTAATTATATAGGAAGAAGTCTTTTTCCTTAGAAGATGCGTGCTAAAGTACATAGGAGTGAAGTGTAGTAATTCCTATGATTTCTTTTTAAATAGTTTAACACCAAAAACACCTATAGCCCTGTGTGTGTGTGTGTGTGTGTGTTTGTGTGTGTGTGTTGATACACACATAAGGATAGAAAAAATATGTAAACATTCTAACTACTTTGGGATGTATAGGGATGTCTATTACTATTACTTAGACTTTTTTAAATGTTTGCAAACTTTTTTAATGAAAAGAAAAAACACTGCCCTGTAGGTTTTCCTACATCAGTCTTTGATTGTGAGGACCATGTCCCTACAAATTCAGATTTTCATCATGGATCTGTACTGCAAAATATAAGGAAATAGCTATTCTGACTTTTGTATATTTGGGGTCTGAATGCTACAAATTTTTTATTTATATTTTATTGGCCTACTAATTCTCTTTTTTGTATTTATTGTTCTAAAGAAAATGGAGTTGCACAACTGTGAGGATGATTGGATATTCTTACTAGTATCCGGATGTGGAACAGAAGCCGCTCTCTTGCTTTGTGAGGTATTGATATGTAGTTAAACTATAATAAAAGAAATGTCACCAAGATGAAACTGTAAGTACCTAAATCTGGAGACCACGCGTGTTTCCACTTTAATACGCTCAAGCACTGCTCCACTAAGTTTCTCACCTGCTTTAATTGCATGCCCAGTCTCCTATAAGGGCCTGAAACATTACTTTCTTTGAGTAGCATTTTATAAGATGAAAGTCTCTATGTTTACAGCCCTCAATTGTTGAAAAAATCTTTTTTTAATTTTTTATTTCTTCTATAGAGTTGAACACTAATTGGTAGCTCTAACAATTACTAAAATTTTTTCCACTCTTATCAGAACATAACTCAGTTGTAGGTCAAGTTTGCATTCTTTGCTTCCTTTTATTTTGTTCCCCTTGGCTCTGGATTCTTCAGACTTTAGATCATTTGTCATTTTTGCCAATTAAAACAATGAACTTGGCCAAATTAAAAGGGCTGCTACCCCTTTAAGTACATATTTAATAATTCATGCATGAAATAGGACTTTTTGTTCTCTGCTGGAATGAACAAAACTTCCTAAGAGATTGCTTTAGTATTATATCTAGATAATGCTTTCAGATTAGAATCTAAATCATACCAGAATAACTGCATTAGAATTACTATGATACATCATTCTAATGTACAGACTTACAGTGTAATGTTACAGTTGGAGTAATCCAATAAAATCAGTGGGTCCCAGAACTAGAAGTGTCTGAGAAAAGCCTTGATGACTGCTGAAATATATATCTTTACAGAAAGGAAAAGAACCTGTACATTTGCGTTCATACAGCTACATATAGCCTTTCCCAAGGATATATGGAAATAATGTTAGAACTAAAGCAAAAAGTAGACTGTAATTTTAAGTCCATGTCCAGAAAACGGCAAATGGTTCAAAAATCCTTGCATGCTAAAAGTCATTTTGGCATAATGCAACTGACACGCATTCACTTGAATTTTATACGATTAATGTGAAAGAGAAGTTTAGATATTATGTGATAAGTTTTGAGTATCTAACTTTTTTTGAAAATTTATGAGTTTTTTTCACAACTGATTTTGGTATATGATATCCACTATATTGTCTTATTTAAAACATAAAATTTGATATCCCATTTTACTAGTTTCTGTAGAAAAGACTGAATGGCTTTGAGAAAATGAAGTTCAAACTTCTTATTTGATATACTTTTGGGGGGAATTTGTACATTGTTATGTGGGCAGAATATGTAAGGTATCTTGCAACCCCAGGAAATGGCTTAGGTCATGGGAATGATTGAATTGAGAGACAGGGGAAAGTATGGCAAGAAAAATGTCTGTAGAGTGTAGGAATTAGTCAAGATGTCTCCTAACATTGACTTGTTATTTCAAAGTCCTTATATTGAAAAAAACAAACATCCAAACAAAACCTAGGAAACTGAAGATTAAACTACCAATTCAATTTCTTTGTAGAATACTTGTAGAGATCTTCATTTATTTCAGATGAACTTAACATATTAAATTTATAATTATAGAATTTACAGGTAAGCAAATTGTTTCAGTACACAGTTTATTACCTACACTTTCTAATGTATTTTCATGGGCAAAACCTTAGCAAATAATCCAATTCCCCTTGTCCCTCATAATAGGCATTATAAGTGCTGCTTTTGTTTTGTGTGTGTGTGTGTGTGTGTGTGTGTGTGTGTGTTTAAACAATTTATCCATGTTGCAAGGAGTGTAGACTAATCTGCTCATTTCCAAACATCAGAGACATCTATCAGCCTTCAAGACTTAACTTCTTTATAAACTGGGTTTCACTCATTTTAATTAATATGCTATATCCTTATAATTGTATAATAAAAATAAATGTTTCGGTGTTTAAAATTTCTAGTAATTAAAAATTTAATACTATTTTATATGTTGGTATTTGTTTTAGGGTTGAGAATTTTTTCCAGGAGCACCAAAGACCTTGTACTGAAAGACTTTGAGAAATAAAGTTCCATATAATTTTCATCAGAATTTTTAACAATATTCTTTGTAGTAGAAACCTACTGTTTTGGCTATCAGTACAGCTGCCATTGGGAGCAACTGTCTCCCATTTTCTGGAAACAGCCTCTGCCTTTCCTTCCATGGTCATAGGCACACTCAGAATACTTGGCTTCACTTTTTTGGCCATAATTAGTCGGTCCAAAGTTGGGCATGTGAAGTAATTTATACCATCCAAAGTCTGGTTTGTGGATTTAAAATGTAGATATAATAATTCTTTCCATCTGACTAATCAATTAGAGGAAACAGATTTTTTAAACTAAAATATTAATAGTACCCATCTGATTTCTATGAAGAAGTAAGTATCTAGTCTGTATGAAGAGGACTGAAGGGTTTGTATTAAGGAAAAATGCAGATGAGAGAGAGAGAAAGAGATTGATTCCTGAGTCCCAGGCTAAAATTTGTCTCTATGCCTAAGTTGTATTCTGTTCCCTGAATACTAAGAAATGTTCCTTCTATCATTATTTTAATAGTTATTATTGTCATTATTATTTTTGCTTAAACTCACTACACAATGTTCACTTTGTACCCAAAAGAACAAACAAAAACATTTCTAGGTGATATATACCCATGTTGGAAGGGAGGTTCAAAGGTCACTTAATAGGCTTGGCATTAACATGTGTTTGTTCTAAGTCTCAAACTTTTATTCCTGTTGTCTTGCATCAAGTATATCATATTGCCAAAAAATGACAAATTCTAACTTGTTGATTCTGGAAAAATAGTAGAAAATGTGTATAACTTCCATGAAAATTTATAGATTTTTATGTAGGTCTCTCTTTATTTAAAAATTTGAGGCCAGGCATGGTGGTTCACACCTGTAATCCCGGCACTTTGGGAGGCCGAGGTGGGCGGATCACCTGAGGTTAGAAGTTCGAGACCAGCCTGGCCAACATGAAGAAACCCCGTCTCTACTAAAAATACAAAAATTAGCCAGGAGTGGTAGCGGGTGCCTGTAATCCCAGTTACTTGGGAGGCTGAGACAGGGAGAATTGCTTGAACCTGGGAGGCGGAGGTTGCAGTGAGCCGAGATCGCGCCATTGCACTGCCATCTGGGCAACAGAGCGAGACTCTGTCTCAAAAAAAAAAAAAAAAAAAATGAGTTGACAAAATTAGGTGAGATGACACACATATTTCCTAATAATTTCCAGGCACAGCCTCTGTGAATTGTGCCCCCAGACAAACATTTTATAATTCAAGGTACTCTTCATTACTTGAAAAAAAAGATAGTCAATCATTAATATGGTTTCCCAATCTTCAAACATCTACAATTCAAGCTGTTTTATTAATACCTTTCATCTCCCTACTCAACATATTCTTTTCATTCTCAGGAAACACTCAGTTTTACATTCACAGCTTGTTCAATACCTTTCTTCTCATCATTTTTAAGTGTGGTTTTATTGTTGAAGGTATCTGTTGAGTATTCGATCCTCATCACTCAAACATGAACACTACTGCATGTATAATAAGTACACACAGACTGCTAACATGTTTGATTTACAAACATCTTCAGTAGGCCTCCAGCTAATCACAGAAAGCACCCCCTGCCCCATGCTTCTGCCCTTTCATTCCTCATTACTTAAAGGAGAAAACAGATTGATCTGTTGTCTGACAATTTGTCATCCTCCACAGCCTGCTGGTGTCAATCAGGGCTAGGGGACAGACATTCATCAAAATCACTTGGACCCTATCATTAAATGTGGACGTGCATTTCCTATAAAGTTGATCTGAAATCTGAGCGCCCACAAAAAGGGCAACAAATAGGATACCCTGAAGGCGACTTGAAGGTAACTATTAGCTACTGAAAGATGGCAACAGCATTTTCTTGAAATTCATGGTCATGTTTCTTTTACGGGACAGAAGAGGAAAGAAAGAAAACAGAGGCAGAGAAAAACAACTGATGTGTGAGAATGCTAAGGGTTTCATGAGGGTTTAAATATGATTGTTAGAGTGAGATGCAGGGATATTTCTAAATTTAAAAAATCATTCTGGAGGCCAGGCGTGGTGGCTGACGCCTGTAATCCCAGAACTTTGGGAGGCTGAGGCGGGCACATCACAAGGTCAGGAGTTCAAGACCAGCCTGGCTAACATGATGAAACCCTGTCTCTACTACAAATACAAACATTAGCTGGGTGTAGTGGTGCATGCCTGTAAATCCCAGCTACTCAGGAGGCTGAGGCAGGAGAATTGCTTGAACCCAGGAGGTGGAGGTTGCAGTGTACCGAGATTACACCATTGTACTCCAGCCTGGGTGACAGAGCAAGACTCTGTCTTGAGGGGAAAAAAAAAGTCATTCTGAATACTCTAATAAATGCTGTCTTTTATACATTGCTATTGCTAAATTATACCATTTCGTAACATTATTTAATAATGTTAAAGCCCCAGCAAAACTTCAGATAAAATTTATTTCATGGTAAAAATAAATTACAATATTTAAAATTAAATTTGTTTAAGAAAAGAGTTGATAGCAGTTATCATTAAAGACTTCTGACTAAAAAATATAAAATATACATAATTGTGCATCACTTAGATTTCAGAACAGCATTCATTAGCAATCATTTTTTATTGCAGTTACAGTTACTTAGAAATTCTAATATTCCTGTAAAAATAATCGTTTCTCTTACACTGTGTTTGAAAATGGTTATTAAATTGATTAAACATTTTTATTTTATGGTAGGTTTTCTAATACTGAAACATTATCCTGATTTAGTTATCTGGCTTATGATAATAAGTCAATGATCAGAAAAATTTAAAAAGAATACTACCTTATCATTGAGTTGGAGGTTACTTGCTTAAATTGTGTTTCATCTGGGTGCTTATTAATTACATAATTTATTGACTATTCTAAACACAAATCCACACCTCTAAGTACAATGGATCTTGAAGTATCATATAATTAGTCAAATGAATTTAAAGTTTCATTTAGTAATTTATTTAAAAAGTAATACAATACTCTACTTCCTCTAGTTATTGATTTGCCCATTGATTCAGTAAATATTCACCTAGCTCTACTAATTTTTATGCACTGTACTTGGACATAAATGAACAGTGATGAATGAAAATGACAAGATCTCTCTTCCTTAATAGAGTAGCAAACCTAGGTGTCAAAACAGAATATTAAAAAGTCATCACAGATATATTATCATGTTATATGAAGTGTGATGAATGAAGTGGAAATTCTCCATGAGAAAGAAAAGTAATTTGGAGAAAGGAACTACTTTAGATAACAAATGAAGTTCACCCTCTTTGAGATTTAGTTTAAGTACAGAAACAAAGAATAAGAAAGGTCCATGATACGAGGAACAAGGGAGGGTATTCCAGGCAGAGAAAACGCCAGGTATGAAGGTCCTGCAGCATGCTCAGCATTTAGTAAATGAGGAAAAGAGTTGTGCAGGATGTTGTTGTTTTGAAAATTAGCAGGGTGAATAACTTGAATTATCATTTATCCGTAACAGAAATCAATGATGGTTGTTAAAGAGACAAAACCAAAATCTCTTTCATACATACATATACATATGTACATATATATACACACACATACATACATACACACACATGCATATATTTCTAGTGGGTATATTAATTAGCACAATACTTAATCTGTTTTAAAATCTAATAAAAATGTACATTCATGCTAAGACAAAAATCCTGTATCTGTTGGAAAACAATAACCATGAAACAAATACGTAAAAATGATGTCTAAAATGTCTGTTGCAGCATTATTTATGAAACCAACAATTGAAGAAAATCAAAATTGCCAACTATCATTAGAGTAAAAGGATGCACTTGAACAAACAATAAAATCAAAACTATATTGTTTATATAATTTATTTTTTGTATTTATAATCATATCTATTATAAAGTCTATATGAATACCTCATATTAATGTTTATAAGACATGGCTAATGTACATGCTTAGTCAAACATATATACTTAAATTGTTGCATTCTTTATAACTAGAAAAAAATGGAAAAGCCTAAATGTTATTCAGTAAGAGATTGACAAAATACTCTATATATCCACTCTAAAAGTATTGTGTGTGTATATATGCACAATCCTTTACCTGTTTTAAAATTCAATAAAAAGTACCCATATATACACAAACACAAAGGGGGAGTTAATATGATTTTCTGATAATTGTTGCTGCTTTAATCCTGTTGAATCTAAATACAATATGAACCTCAATGAATGAGGAAGAATGACATCTGAATAGCATGAAAACAGGGACTCAGTAGCCTACATGCAAATTAAAAATACAGTTGACCGGCTGGGCGCGGCGGCTCACGCCTGTAATCCCAACACTTTGGGAAGCCAAGGCGGGTGGATCACTTGAGGTCAGGAGTTAGAGACCAACCTTTCCAACATGGTGAAACCCCATCTCTACTAAAAATACAAAAATTCCCTGGGCACGGTAGCACATGTCTGTAATCCCAGCTACTCAGGAGGCTGAGGCAAGAGAATGGCTTGAACCCAGGAGTCGGAGGTTGTGAGCCGAAATCGTTCCACTGCACTCCAGCCTGCGCGACAGAGCAACACCTTGCCTCAAAATAAATAAATAAATAATAAATAAATAAAAATACACACACACACACACACACACACACACACACACACACACACACATAGTTGTCCCTTGAACAATGCAAAGATTAGAGGTGCTAACCTCATGCAGTCAAAAATCCATGTATAACTTTTGATTCCCCCCAAAATTAACTACTAATAGCCTACTGTTGACCTGAAGCCTAACCAATAAATAGTAGATTAACACACATTTTCTTTATTATATGTTTTATATATTGCATTCTTCAAGTAAGCTAGAAAAAAATAAAATGTCATTTAAAAAATCAAAAGGAAAAGAAAATATATTTACTATTCATTAAGTGGATTGGATCATCATAAAAGTCATCATCCTTGTCATTTTCAGGTTGTGTAGGCTGAAGAAGAGGGGGAAGAGAAGAGCTTGTTGGTCTTGCTCTCTCAAGGCTGGCAGAGGCAGAAGAAAATCGTATATAAGTGGACCCATGTAGTTAAAATTCATATTGTTCAAAGATCAACTATATCACCTCAAAGTGGCTGTCCCTTTTCCTCCCACAACTCTTGCTTTTGTTGCAGATCCTGGGTACTGTGATTCTATGGGGGTAATAGGGACCAAAAATGTTTCCTAAATGACAACGTGTCTTGCCATTGTGTGTGGAGTTCCAATTCATGTAAAGTGTCTAATTAAAAGTTTCTGAATTATAATTGGCAATCCGTCCATTGTGTGTAAAGCAGGAAACCTAGTCCTACATTACGTGTTCAGAAATGTGTAAGAATCAAAAAAAAAAAAAAGAAGAAAAAATACATGCCAAGACACTCAGTTTAATTCAATTAAATCTCCTTAAATTTAACCAATAATACATATACAGAGATTAGGTAAATAGTATGTCATATTATTTGAATATGGCAAATAGACCTAACTTCAAGTAACCTCAAATAATCAGAATTGTTTATGTGGCCTACTGTATGTTAATAGCAATGCCAGGAAACTACAATCCATCATCTTTTGTCACAGCCTTGATGAGCGCATCGTAGAGAATACTGAGTTGCTTACTCTGTTTAAAAATATTTTTAAAGTATGACTATGTTGTATTTATCTTAATTTATAAGAAATGATCCCAAGCAAAATCACAAATTCGTACATGTAATATGAAATGATTGTGCAACAATAACTCTGGGAGACACAGAGACAGTCATTTTATATGCAATTTATATGCAGGTTATTCTTAAATCTACATCTCCATCATTGAGCTTTTCCTGGGTTAGTGCAAAAATATCTGGGTTTTTAGCATTATTCGGTTTTTCCCATCTGATATTGGAATACTTAAATAAATGTAAATTATTCTTTAATACATGTGGTTTTGTTATACATCATTTTAATGGGCATTTCTTGCTTTATTTTTTTGCTAATGACTTATTACTTACTGTTTATGCTTATTTTAGACTGTGGAAATTATGTCAGACAAAAAGCAAATTCGAGCGATTTTCTTATTCAAGTTCAAAATGGGTCGTAAAGCAGCGGATACATCAACGCATTTGGCACAGGAGCTGCTAACCAACGGACAGCGCAGTGATGGTTCAAGAAGTTTTACAAAGAAGAGGAGAGCCTTGAAGATGAGGAGCTTAGTGGCCGGGCCATCGAAAGTTGGAAACAACCCATTAAGAGCAATCATCGAAGCTGATTGTCTTACAACTACACAAGAAGTTGCGGAAGAACTCAAAGTTGACCCTCCTATGTTAGACATTTGAGGGAAATTGGAAAGATGAGAAAGCTCGATACGTGGATGCCTCACGAGCTGACTGAAAAGCTAAAAAATCGTCCTTTTGAAGCGTTGTCTTTTCTTATTCTACCTAACAATGAACCATTTCTTGATCAGATTGTAGCGTGCTATGAAAAGTGGTTTTTATACGACAACTGGCAATGACTAGCTCAGTGGTTGGACCGAGAAAAAGCTCCAAAGCCCTTCCCAAAGCCAAACTTACACCAAAAAAAGTCATAGTCACTGTTTGGTGGCTTGCTACCAGTCTGATCCACGACAGCTTTCTGAATCTGGGTGAAACCATTACATCTGAGAAGCATGCTCAGCAAATCGATGAGATGCACCCAAAACTGCAATGCCTGCAGCCCGCCATTGGTCAACAGAAAGGGCCCAATTCTTCTCCATAGCAATGCCCGACCACACATCGCACAACTAGCACTTCAAAAGTTGAACAAATTGGGCTACAAAGTTTTGCCTCATCCACCATATTCATCTAACCTCTCGCCAACAGACTACCACTTCTTCAAGCATCTCAACAACTTTTTACAGGGAAAACACTTTCACAACCAGCAGGATGCAGAAAACGCTTTCCAAAAGTTCGTCAAATCCCGAAATACGAATTTTTATACTACAGGCATAAACAAACTTATTTCTCATTGGGAACAATGTGTCGATTATAATCGTTCCTATTTTTATTAATAACAACGTGTTAAAATTCACAGTCCAAAGCAGCAATTAATTTTACACCAACTTAATATTCAATACTTCCAATTTCGGTCATAGATTCCTAATACTTGCCTTCAATTCATCCTGAACTGCCTCATACTATATATTCTAATTGTAAATTGTAAATTTTATTTCTATAATTGTCTTTCACGCTAGACTCTCACATTAGACTAGGAACTTCTTGAAGGTTGGTACCCTGGACATCAAGATCTGTCTTCTGAGTTTCTCTCTGTGACCACCCACTGCCATAATGTCTTAGGGTTTATTTTCTTTAATCTCACCTTACATAATTTCATTGCAGTATTTTTATCTCTACCGAGGAAAGCAAATTGGGTATGTGTAATTTGGTGGATAATGCCAAGCTGTAGCATAGTACCTGGACTGATTACTTGTTCTACACACACCTTTACCCCAATACACTTACCATGTTTATATGCAGATTTATTGTGCAAATTGTTCAACTAAGATTTTACAGTTCTCTAAAAATAGGTACAAACTAAAGTAACAGTAATATGTTTTAAGATATGTAATATAATTATAATAACCTATTCATTTGCTTCACTTGTTTGATTAGTGTCCCAAGAAAAATGCATCCATTTGTCATTCATCAGTATGCCTAGACATTTTAACATACAAAATATCTCAGCATATTGATGCTTCAAAATAAAATATTATTTTTTTTAATTTTTACAGTTTTGGGGGTACAGGTGGTTTTTGATTACATGGATAAGCTCTTTAGTGGTGACTTCTGAGATTTAATGCACCTGTCACCTGAGCAGTGTACACTCTATCCAGTATCTTGTACTTTATCCCTCATCTCCTCCCACCCTTCCCACTCCAAGTCCTCAAAGTCCATTATATGTCTTTCTGTCCTCATAGCTTAGTTCCCACTTATAAGTGAGAACATACATAATTTTTTTTTCCATTTCTGAGTTACTTCACTTACAATAATGGCCTCCAGTTCCATTCAAATTGCTTCAAAAGACATTATTTTGATACTTTTTATGGGTGAGTAGTATTACATGGTGTATATATACTATATTTTCTTTATCCATTGATTGGTTTATGGGCACTTAAGTTGGTTCCATTTCTTTGCAATTGCAAATTTTACTGCTATATACATGCGTGTACCCTTGTCTTTTTCATGTAATGACGTCTTTTTCTTTGGGTAGGTATCCAGTAGTTAGATTGCTGAATCAAATGGTAGTTCTACTTTTATTAAGTTCTTGAAGGAATCTCCATACTGTTTTCCATGTGGTTGTATTAATTTGAATTCCCACCAGCAATACAAAAATGTTCCCTTTTCTTCACATTGACACCAATATTTATTGGTTTTACTCTTTGTAATTACGGTCATTCTTGAAGAATTAAGGTACTATCTCGTTGTGGTTTTAATTTGAATTTCCATGATGGTTAGTGATATGAGCATTTTTTCATGTTTGTTGGCTGTTTGAATATCTTTTTTTGAGAAATTTCTATTTATGTATTTTGGCCACTTTTTGATGGGATTATTTGTTTTTGTTTTTGTTTTTTTCTTGCTGACTTGTTTGAGTTCCTTGTAGATTCTGGATACTAAACCTTTGTCAGATGCATAGTTTGTGAATATTTTCTCCAACCCTGTGTGTTGCCTGTTTACTCTACTGATGATTTATTTTGCTGTGCAGAACCTTTTAAGTTAAATTAGGTCCCATTTATTTGTTTTTGTTGCATTTGCTTTTGGGGTCTTAGTCATGAATTATTTGCCTAGGCCAATATCCAGAAGAGTTTTTCTGATGTTATCCTCCAGAATTTTTATGGTTTTAGGTCTTAGATTTAAGTCTTTCATCCATCTTGAGTTGATTTTTGTATAAGGTGAGAGCTGGGGATCCAGTTTTATTTTCTATATGTGACTTGCCCATTTTTCCCAGCACTTTTTATTGAATAGGGTGTCCTTTCCCCAATTTATATGTTTGTATACTTTGTTGAAGATCAGTTGATTGTAAGTATTTGGCTTTAGTTTTGAGTTCTCTATCCTGATCCATTGGTCTAGTGCCTACAAAAGAAAATTTTAAAAATTCAGGACTTAAATGGTGGGAAATAAGTCATCTACCTGTATAATGTTACTGGTGTCAGGTAGGTTCTTAAAACAGTTTTCAGGACAGTTGATTATTGCTTGTCCTCCTTTAACCAACGATGCATTGTTTAGGATTAAGTGATTGTTATTTCACTTAATCATTTATTTCACCATTTAATAAACACTCATCAACATCCCGTGTAGAAGAGTTCACTTGATGATGAATTTACACAGATTTATTTATGCTTAGATTTATTCACTGTCATTAGGTATGTTGCTCCTTCTTCCTGACTTCTTACACTGACCTGCATGGCATATTCTGACACAGTCTCCAGCCCTCAATTTCAGAATTGCCTAGCTCCTTAACTCATGCAGACAGAATTGAGAATTTCTTTTCTGTGCCTTCATTGCACCCTATACAATTCCATTAATATTTAACACACTATATTGTAATTTTCATAGACATGTTTGTTTCAAAACTATTAACTCAGGAAATGTATTTTAACCACTTTTTTGTACCCAGGGTCTAACAATGCTTAAAAATGTGTTCTGAGTAAATGAATAAATCCATGTTTTGAAATGACAAACGATTATCTAATCTACTAGCATACCTTCCCACCCTCATTAGATAATAGGCTGCAAGGAATGAATGAACATGCATAATCTATCACTTTCATTAATCTGCTGATATTGAATGCTGAATGAATCCAAGCATTCAAGACTTGAAAAAAATCTTCAAATCAAATAAAATGTACACTGTGTAAGATAGTGCTTAAGTGAATAAAAAACAACCAAATTGTTGAGCAGCATCAAATGTAAATAATGCCAATTGATGAAGAATTGTTAACTATAAAACAAACATACTTTAGTAAAATAATAGGGAAAATTCATAATTCAAAAGATAGGATCTCAACTTGTTAAAAAATGCATGGCTGTCATTGCATTAGGCATATATGATGAAAAATATATTAGATCAAATTTTAGATAAATGTAAAAATGATATGCCTAAATATTTATAATTTTAAAGTGCATATAAAAGCTAAGATAACATTATAATCAAAGTGGTTTATAGCAGCAATAGTATACTCATGATTTATTCTTTCAAGCACCTCTGCCAATAAATGAAAATTATCAAGGGGAAATGAAAAAACTAGGTAGTATTAAAAACATATTTCTATTTGCTTAACAAGAACTTCTTTAAAATGTTTTATTTCCAATTTGTCCTAGGTACATTTTAGCTTAGAAAACAAAATGCATATATGCATGTGTACATATAAACATTTCACTTTAGCTGCTAAATAGGACTGCTATTTTTTTCAACAGTCTAACTCCTTTTTACCACATAAAGGGACAGTTTTAAAACATATTTATATCCCATGGTTTAAACTATAGCATGATTTATTAGAAAATAGTTAATTCAATACCCTTGATTGAACTTGCAATTTGACAATAAATCAGGAAACTTTTGTGTTTCCTTAAAAAAAAGAAAATAGTTTAACACAGCACACTGGAATGTTAAAATGCTTCAAGGAAGATTAATAACATCCAGATAATAGTTATTTTCTTGCTTTGCAAGAAAACACATTATCTATTCCATAACAATTGATAGCTTTCCTGTGCAATGTCCTTGATTTCAATAGTATTGTTCAGGCTTTTGATACTAATCTGTAAGATGTTGTTAGGAAAGAATCTCACCTCATCAGCTATTCTGAAGGAAATAAAAAATTCTGCACCTGATAAATCATCTATATTCTTAAAGTGACAATTTTCACTTGAAGAACTGATCTCCTCTGAATGCTTTCAAAATCAAAAATCAGAGGTATGTTGTAGAATAAAAAAAAATAAAATGAGTCTTCTTAAGAGAAGGGCTATAAAAATAGAAAATCAACCTGCCCTTTTCAAACTTACTTTGCTACTTTGACTATGACTTTTTGAAGTGTACTTTCTGTTTTTTACTGGCTTCAGAAACATCTGCTGATTTTTGTAAATGGACAATTCATTGCCCATCACAAAATCACTCAATTTTCTTAGCAAGCAATTTTGAAACTTCTGGGTAAGTTTCTTCACTTAAAAATAGTTACTCAAAATTTGGCAGATACCTTTTGTTTTTCACATTTGTACAGTATCTTCCTGCTAGGCCATGCATCCTTAAAGAACCATAATGTAGACAGAAAGAAGTATAAACCTGTACTCAGAGATGGCTGGGGGCAATGGTGTCTCCCATTCCCTTAGTGGAGTGACCCATCACAGTCAGTTACTTTTCTGCCTTTGTTAACTTTTCTGCCTCTCATTTTACTGATAAATAGGAACAGAGTCAATAAATCTTATTACAATATTTATTATTGTGGTGTATAAATGCGATGTATGTAAACATTGGGATATATAATTTATTGATAAATATTGGTTTCTTCTATGGCTTGAATGTGCCTCTCAAATTTTATGAATTGGAAATATCCTCAAATTCATATGTTGATGGTTTATGGGGGTGGGGCTTTCAGGAGGTAATTAGAATTAGATACATTCATCAAAATGGAACCCCCATGATAAGACTTGTAACTTTATAAGAAGAGGAAGGGAGACTGAGTTGGCATGGTCTTGCCTCTTGCCATGTGATGCCCTTTGCCATCTTATGAAACAGTAAGAAGGCCCTCACAAGATGCCAGCACCATGCTCCTGGACTTTCTAGCCTCTGAAAATGTGAGCTAAACGAACTTCTCTTCTCTATACATTACCCAGTCTGTGGTATTCTTTCATAGCAAGAGAAAACAAACTAAGACAGTTTCCATATTTTATGGCAGTTATTTTGGCTGTTTGAAAATTATATTTTACACAGTGATTAGCAAACTTTCCCTATAGAATTATCAATAAACTAATGAAAAGTAAATTACTAACATGGTTGATTAAAATAGAGGGGGAATATAATTTGAAGGCACTCCAGGCCCTCTGGACAATTACAGAGATGTCTGAAATATTAATTTTCAGGAGTGTCAGACTAGCAACACAGCTCAGAAAATTGCAGTGAGGCAACTGCCATTTGTATTACGTACCTATTTATCCTGCAGTTTTAGAGTTACATATAAAACCAGAAGTTCTTTATCATCTCTGCAACAGCACAAAAATGCTATTGTCTCCTAAATTATTCTGTCCGAAATAATTGTTTCCTATGTAAGCTATTTTGTCCTAAGTAATTAAGCATTCAATATTTTAAAGATTTTAAAGTGTGCATAACATGCAATTTTATATATATATATATTTAAGTGATATGTATGTATGCATATATGCATACAAAATGCAATATAAAATATTCTTTTTATCTATAAATTTATGGAAAACTGGGACGGAATAGAACTACAGAGTACCGATAAAACATCTGATGGAAAATTGGTTGCATTTCAAATCTCTCAACAATTAGTCCCTTCCTTCGACTTCAGGTCTTCTTTTAATCTATATTTCTATCCTTCTTTCTTTAATATTTTACGTGGGTATGGACAGGAACCAAGTTGGAAAGAAGCTTCCCACAAGAGTAGAGCACTGAAGAGATCACAGACATTGATCATATTTGTAGTATTTCCAGAAAAGCATGTACAAAATTACTAAGCTTAAAATGGTTAGCATCCATTTTTTAAGGGAGAGAAATGAGGAACTTGAAAAAAAAAGGAGTGAGATTCAAGAAGTTGAAGTATAGGAATTTTGAATAAAAACTGGACCTTTGAGAATTTTACAAGTTCATGTGTTTGTGTATGTGTCTGTGTGTGCTAAACATTACAGTCTTTCATAAGTCAGAATGAATATCCTTAAGAGCTACTATCTTCTCATCTTTATTTTTTTTTTTACTTTCTTCTACAACTTTTTCCCTAGTGCTACATTTGCTTTCCTTCTCTTTGCCCAACTGTTATATCTTTTTTCCCATCCCATTCTTCTAACAAGACTGATCTGAAATACCATTTTTCTGATAATGAGTTTTAGAATTGAAACATTAAAGAATATAAACAGAATTGCTGCTATTCACTTCTGCAAAACCCAAGTTTGCTGACCTTAATTTTATAGCATGAATCACAGCCATTCTGCTGATATTGGCAGTGATTGATAATAAGGGGGATGGGAGTAATTAAAGAACATATGATGTGTTTGTTTGCATTTTGAGTGACTGCTATAGAGTATATGCAATCAAAGGCATGGTACATTAAATAAATCAAATAGCCCCATAAATCAGCACAACCTGCCAAAAATGAGCAGAGGGAGTTTGCAATGCAGCAGGCCTGCATGTCAGGCCTTAGGAAAGCTGTTACCTCCAGGGTGAAGTCATCAAAAACAGAGCTCAAAGAACCAGAGAAGACTTGCTATTTGCAGGATTCAGAATCTCAGCAACAGAGCCTAAATGTAGTGACTTTTTTTTTTTTTTTAACATTTGTGCAGGAATGTGAAGTTTATGAGCTTTATTAAAATCTACTGTGTGCTCTATAAATATCTTCACTGGTTTGTACCAACACAGCTATGGGATAATTTCAGAATTGTTACCCGGTGTACATTCAATAGTTTCACCTTTTATTTACTAAAAGAAAATTCCTGAAATTTCTGCCAAAAGATAACATCAGTAAGAAAATATTTTACACGTTGATTCAGTCACCAGTGATATTGTTACCAAGGTTCTGGAATTAAGAAAATAAAATAATTTTAATAGACATTATTTTTAGAGCAGTTTCAGGCTCACAGTAACACTGAGAGACAGCTAGCAAGATTTTTGAGATACCCATCCCCACATATGCGTAGCCTCCCCCGTTATCAACATCCTCCCCTAGAACAGTACATTTGATTCCACTGAGGAAACTACATTGACACATTATTATCACCCAAAGTCCGTCGTTTACATTAGAGTTCACTCTTGGTTTTGGACATTGTATAGGTTTGGAAAAATGTATAATGATATGTATCTACCATTATATAGATTCTCTTTGACTTATGATAAACTCATCATAATGTTGAAAAAGTGTAATTGAAATGTGGTAAGATGAGGACTATCTTTGGTGTTATTCAGCTACTTCTCTTCCCCATACTCATCCCTCCTTCCCTACGAACTCCTGGCAACCACTGATCCTTTTCCCATCACCTTAGTTTTATCTTTTTCAAAACGTTATATAGCTGTAATCATACAGCATGTAGCCTTTTTATACTTATTTCACTTAGTAATATGTATTTCTGCTTTCTTTATGTCTTTTCATGGCTTGGTAGCTCATCTCTTTTTAATACCGAATAATATTCCATTATCTGTATTTATCACGGTTTATTTATCCTTTCTCCCACTAAAGGACATGATGGTTGCTTTGAAGATTTGGCAATTATGAAACAAGCCTCTATAAACATCCCTGTGCAGGTTTTTGTGTGTGGACAGAAATTTTCAACCCCTTAGGGTAAAATAATTTTTAAAACATGCAACTTTTGCTGTGGTTCATATTGATTTTGGGGTAATAAATACATGAAAATATGGACAAATGTTTCTCTATCAGAGAAAACACACATACTCATTCACAATTTCACTTTTTGCAGTTTCAGTAACCCTCAGTTAACTGCAGTTTGAAAATATCTGAGCACTGTAGTGCCATAAGCTAATTCTGAAAGAGAAAGACTTCAGTCACATCATTTTTATTATAGCATATTGTTACTGTTGTTCTAGTTTATCAGTTATTGTTGTTAATCTCTTACTGTGCCTAGGTTTTAAATTACAGTTTATCATAGGTATGTATGTATAAGAAAAAAACACATACACGGTTTAGTACAATCCAAGTTCAGGCAACCAGTGGGAGTCTTGGAATATATGCCCCAAGAATAAGGGATGACTAAAGTATTGCATAAAACTTTAGAACCTTGCTTGTTGACTCCTTAAGTTTGCAAGGACACCTGTTTTAAAACCTTGAACCTTGAAACAATAGTTTTGTTCCTTCTTACATATGTGAGTTTACTTTTGTCCCTACATCAACGTTAGGTTTCAACCTTATTAATCATACATTATATATTTTAGCAAGGAAATTAGGTTTAAAATAGTAAGCATATTGTGAAAATGAAGCATATTTCTTTTTTTTTCTTTTTCTTTTTTTTTTTTTTTTTTTTTTTGAGACGGAGTCTCACTGTGTCACCCAGACAGGAGTGCAGTGGTGTGATCTCATCTCACTGCAACCTCTGCCTCCTGAATCCAAGCGATTCTCCTGCTTCAGCCTCCTGAGTAGCTGGGATTACAGGTGTGAGCCACCATGCCTGGCTAATTTTTTGTATTTTTAGTACAGATGAAGTTTCACCATGTTGGCCAGGCTGGTCTCAAACTCCTGACCTCGGGTGATCTGCCCACCTTGGCCTCCCAAAGTGCTGGGATTACAGGCATCAACCACTATTCCCAGGCTGAAGCATATTTCTTACTACTAACACTTTGCAAATTTTAATGGGACATATATTTGGGACAAACAAAAAATTAGTAAGATCTTTGTTTAATGTCAAGGAACACTGACTTTGTGCAAATATACCCATATATAGATATATACCTATATATACATATATCTACACAGCTCCATATAACACATGTGGGTTAGGACACTATATTACAATAAATTATAGTATGCATTTCAGGAACTTACATATTTATTTAAAATGTATCCCAATCAAAGCAATCACTTATCATTTAGATTAAATAGTTGAAGCAGTTGGTTCCCAGTTTGACTAATCATCTGTCAGCAGACTTCTCCAAAACATTTGAAAAGCTAGTAAGGAGTGTGAGAATAGAAATTGTATTTTGTTCTAATATATTGCTCTGAAGCTGGCAAACTGTTGTTGTTAAAAGTCAACAATGGTTTGAAAAAGTCAGAAAGCTTCTTTTTTTATTTTTAGCTGACACTGAATTTATAGTGTAAACAAAATCACTTTTTGGAAATACAAAGAATTCACAGTGAATTCAAAGTAAAGTATTTGCAATGCTAATTACAATTGTGTGCTCTGTTGGAAATGTGTGTTTAGAAACCTGGATATTGGACATCTTTAATATATACGCTTACACATGAGAAAACATGTCCATCCTGTGTTTGGGTCATTTCTGTGAGGACAGCTTGCAGGATTCTGTATTGGTGAGTCTAGTGACTCCACTAGAGTCACTAGTAGCAGATATTACAACTGAGAGAAAACAAGCAACAATGGAGAAGTAGATAGTGTGTCTCACTAAGCTAAACTTGGAATAAACAACCTCCTAAAACCTGAAATCACAGAACATCATTCTTCTTTGCATCTAAGAGGAAGGTTGGGGGAGGAAGTGAATGAAAGGGGAAGGGGAAGGCCAACATTTACTTGCATGTAAATATAAAATAGTATATAGTTTTTCATTCTGTCCAACTAAAACTTTATATTCTTTTCCCACAATATCAAATAGTATATTTTAATTGCATGTTAGTGAAATTTCATGGGGAAAAGCAACCTTCTACCTGCATCAAAGCATTACGGTCACTGAGTTTAATCATTTATTTACTCATTCGAAAAATATTCATTGGGTGTTTCCAGTGCACCAGTTACAGTATTGGCCCTAAGAATAAAATGAAGACTAAGATTTAGTGCCTGCTCTACAAAATCTCAAAGTTTATTAGGAGACCAAAACATGTAATATGTGTTGATGTGTGTGTATGTGTGTATGTGTGTATACATACATATATAAATAAAGGGCATGAAGAGTATTGCATACAATAGTAGCAAAAGAAGAAAGTAATTACCTGAACCTAGGGGACCATCTCAAGGACATCCTTCTTACCCAGATGACCACTGAAACAAGTCATAATAAATAAACAGGAGATTGGCAGACATGAATAGAAAGTCTGAATACCCGAAAGAAAAAGTAAGCGCTTTAAGGGAGAGAGAGGAAGAAAATGACCTGATTTTGAAAACATTATACATTTCATTAGCTTGGAAAAATATGTATTAGGTATGCAGTATATCCATTGTAAATCTTCCTAGTGACATTACTGCAGTATCCAAAGAAGCATTGAACATTCTGAAGGGGAAGTGAGCTTTGTTTTACATTTCAGCACAATGCCATTAAAAGTAAAAAGCAACCCGAATATTTGTTCATTTGAAGAAGGAATCAGGATATTTAAAAAGCTGCTCAATCTTTCTATGCCTTAGTTTCCCCAAATTCATAATAGATGAAAATTAATAATACCACCTAACACTATTGTTGAGAATTAAATGAAATAATATTAAAAAAGAGGATAAGGGACATAGAAATTAGCAACAAATCTAGTTTTTACTATAGCCAATACAGTTACTATATTTTTGAATAATATGTTTCACTTTAAACAAGGTGATACTAAACACCGAGAGTATTATATGAACTAGAGCTAATTTTATTATTGAGGCCTTCAATGAAATATGAGGCATATACATTTCTAAGATCTACCTAATTAGAGTAGTTATATGCTTGATTTTCTAAAGAAGTCATACTCACACTTGTTTTCCTTTTTCTGAAAATAGCTGTTTCTGTGTCAGGGCATTTTAAGCATTAAATTCCTTCGTCACTTGACATGAGTGAAACCAAACTTTGTATCAACTTCTTTTTCTTAATTGTCTTGTAATTTCAAGGGGGTGGAGAAAAATAAGAGATCCTCAATCGCTGGAAATTTTTCATATCAGATGAAAACATAATTTTGCAGTAATACAATGATATCGTGCCACATTTTATCAAAGCTCTGTATAATGTGTAAGTGTGAAACACATTCTAGAAACAAGCAACACTGCAATTACTATTTTTAATAATATGAAATTCATAATTCTTTATAGCCTTATTCAGGAAATAGATCTGTTAATATCATTTAACATATTGGATTTCATTCTGGTGAGATGTATTGGTGATGGGAATGCAGAAAAAACAAAAGCAAATTCCATTAAGTCTACAACTTTCAAGCTGAGTAATTACAAGGTTCTGCTAATGAATATTTTCTGTTCCCTGAAGAGTTTTGAAATGTCATTATATGTAGAGGTTAAATGTGCTACAAATATTAAGAAACATATTTTCCATATATCAATTAGACTGTATTCTCAAGCATTATAACAAGTAAATGTGTTTGCACGTGCATGTGCATGTGCAGGCACACATGTTACGCATTTAGGGAAGAGAAGGAAGGAAGTATTACTGGTACTATTTTCCAAACATAAAATATTTGGTCACATGGGCGTTGCATATGCCAAAATCAAATCTCACAGTTTTTCCTATTTTCACCATTAGTATCTGGTTAACTTGCAAGTGCCAATAAGCTAGTTGATAAACATCAGGAAAAGAGGCCATTTTGATCAGCATGGTAAAACCACACAAAAAAATCATGCTTAAACATTAGGTATCTCAAAACTGTTATAATGTTTTTCTGCATTTTCTCCATATATTTCTATTTTTCAAAATTATGTAACAGCTTTAAATTACAAACACACTCTTGAAAATAAATGCCACTCAATTCCAGTGGATAGCTATAGTTACAATTTCATATATTAGCTTTGACCTAAAGTGAGAGATATTGCTATTTTCTCTGACAGCAGCTCACCCAGAATGAAGCTTGGCAGGTCTAATTGTTGGTTACTTCAAAGCATAACACTGTATAACAGCAGTAATAATATAATATTCTGATCCACCTATGTTTCCTTTTATGCACTAGGATTAAACTATGTACAGGGCTTGATGCTGTCTGTTAATAAAAGATGATGTTATCTGTAAATTATATTTGAACTTCAAAGTCCAGAAATATTGAGGGTGGGGTAGGGAATAGAAATTCAGACCTCAGCACTTCTCTACCTGGACAACAATAACGAAAATAGAAGACAGGAAAAGGCAAATGACAGCTCATGTATTGATATTGGGAAAACCATGTTCTAGATTAAGCATAACACATTCTAAATTCAATTAGATGCAATCTTAGGGTTTCACTAACATTTTAATCATTTGATCCCATAAGTGAAATGTGTTGATGTTTCCTTTCTGGAGCTATGATTCATACAGAGCATGAGGAGGTAAGTAAAGTGATATTTTGGGAATACTCTGGTGATTAATTGTCAACAGGGGAAATGCAGCTTCAAAGTCTGGGTTGACTTACCATTTGAACCACACAAAGTAAAAGCTGTAGAGAAAACTCACGGCAACTTATACCCTGTGAAAGCTATACAAATTCTGAATTACTCGGTTTTATGAAATTTAAAAATCATTCTTCTTTCAAGGTTTGTTATTTTAAGAAAAACATGGTAATATTTTAGTCATGGGGCATTGCTATTGGTGAGGAGTCAAAATGAAAAGAAAAAAATTTATAAGGTAATTTTATACATGAGTCTATTATGGTAATATGCCTAAGGACCAATGAATTCTACATTATAAAATATAGAAAAATGAATTATATAAGCTTACAGAAAAAAATAAAATTATAAAACATAAATCTTTAGAAAAAAATTTCTACAAGAGAGATTTTCCATAGACAATATTTTCCATAAATTTTGGTAGAAACTTCATAAATTTTACAATTAAAAAACTCACAATATTTTTCATTGTTATTTATTTATTGAGACAGGGTCTCACTCTGTTGCTCAGGCTGGAGTGCAGTGGTGCAATCTTGGCTCACTGCAGCCTCCCCCCGCTGAGCTCAAGTGATTCTCTCACCTCAGCCCTCCAAGTAGCTGGGACTACTTGTGCATGCCACCATACCCAGCTAATTTTTGTCTTTGTGGGTTATTTATTTATTTTTGTAGAAATGGGTTTTGTCATATTGCCCAGGCTAGTCTCGAACTCCTGAGCACAAGTGATCCTCCCACCTCAGCCTCCCAAAGCGCTAAGATTGGCAGGTGAGCCACTGCTCACAGTCATGAATCCTTTCTCAGTAGAAAACTTTTGTACAGTGAAGAGTACCCAATAAGCTAACGATCAGCAGTATAATTAGCTTAGTTAGTTGGCTGAGGAGTTCAGATCCAGCTCAACTTACTTATGTTCTATGAAAATAACATAAACTCCCACCCTTACCCATCATTTTAAATAAATTTGAAAATTGTGTCTAACTGTTCAGCCTACGCCAACTATATTTGTGCAAGTCATCCTTCTCCTACCTACTGAAACAGTGGTTTTAATATTTAAAACTCGGCCGGGCGTGGTGGCTCACGCCTGTAATCCCAGCACTTTGGGAGGCCGAGGCGGGCAGATCACGAGGTCAGGAGATCGAGACCATCCTGGCTAACACGGTGAAACCCCGCCTCTACTAAAAATACAAAAATTAGCCGGGCGTGGTGGTGGGTGTCTGTAGTCCCAGCTACTCGGGAGGCTGAGGCAGGACAATGGTGTTAACCCAGGAGGCGGAGCTTGCAGTGAGCCGAGATTGCGCCACTGCACTCCAGCCTGAGTGACAGACCGAGACTCCGTCAAAAAAAAAAAAAAAAAAAAAAAAGATTTAAAATTAATAGTAATTTTATCATTACCTTGCTTAGAAGAGCCCAAAGATTCCTCATTGTCCTAGACATCAAGCCAAACTCCTTCACAAGTTAACAATACTTTAGTATACTCGTTGAAAAAAACTCTCCAAAACATAGAAATAAAAAAAAGTTATTTCCTGCCCTTTCAATGATATAATAAACCATTGTCTAACAAACCCACCGAAAGAGTTATCTATGAAACAGAATATGGAATTTGTTTGACTTACTATTCCCTGTTAATACTATGAATAAAGATTCAGATTCTGGAAAGAGATGGAAACTATTAGAAAATTTCTAACTTGTCAGTATTTTTTACCCATAAAGACACAAATTATGTCTGGAAAAATATCATGCCTCTATTGCCAACATATGGCATTAAACAGTTTTATATTTAACTTTCCAATCTTATACTATTCTGCTACTTAGACAATAAATAGATTAAATAGATGGTAGATAGATGGATAGATAGATAGAGATATGTATTTAATTATTTGAAGATTTGATTTGGCACCCTCTATCTTCTTAAACATTTTACACATAGAAATACTCATAGTTCCCTATAAATGAACTTTTCTTCAAGGGTTTCCCATGAGTCTCTGTGCATCTTGTACCAGTTGCTTAGAATATTTATCTCCCATTCAGTTCATTTTCATTCTTAAATATATAACTCACTTCTACAAAACAGAGGTAAATGTATTAAGAAGCTTATTAAGATAAGTATTTATGCCTTGTCACATTCACAGAGCCTCTTCCAAGACCTTGGGAGACACCCTAGAAATACATTCTCATAGTCATATATATATATATATATATATATATATATATATATATATATATATATATATATGCATACACACACGTGTGTGTGCATGTGTGTATACATAAATTTATATTTCAGATTTATAAATCTGAAAAGGTAAGATATTTTATGCAGCACAGATTAATACTATTTTAATTTAATCAGATATGCCTTCACTTTTATTTTTTCTTTTCTTGAGACAGGCTCTCACTCTGTTGCCCAGGCTGGGAGTGCATTGGTGTAATCACAGCTCACTGCAGCCTCAAATTCCTGGGCTTAAGCAATCCTCCCATCTCAGCCTCCTGAGTAGCTGGGACTGCAGGTGCACATCACCACATCTGGCTAGTTTCTTCAAAAAATGTTTGTAGAGACAGGATCTCCCTATGTTGCCAGGCTGGTCTCCTGGACTCAAGTTATTCTCTCACCTTGGCCTCCCAAAGTGTTTGGATTACAGGTGTGAGCCACTAGACCTAGCCTACATTTCCTTGTTTGTTTGGTGATTCTGAAAATGGTACTTTTAGGACTTAAATAAGAAAAATACAAATTTCATAAATATTTAATTTGATTTATAGGGCTATTTTTATCTGATGTGCAGTTCCATCCATGAATAGTAATGTTATTGCTAGCCACCCTGATGATAGATTGATGTCCAAGAATATTTCTACCCACCCACTGGTCTGACTCATCCAACAATACAAAAAATGTAGCAGGGTCAGTGCTGATAAGAATGTATTTCAGTGTCCAGCAACTGGGTGGGTTGTTGAGGAAAGATAGGGTTTGAAAATGTGAAGCTAGGTATTATCCTTGGAAAAATTTTCAAGGATCCAATGCGTAAAACTGTGAAAGAAACATTTGGATTTCATTTGCTAGTTCAAAAATAGAGGTTCTCAATCTGTTGATAATGCAGATTATATAATCATAAGTATACTACATTTTCATTGCTTCAGAAATAGGAATTGTACAAAATAAAATTATCCAGATTTATATGATTTAAGTATGTCAACTTGTAACAGTACAATAAATAACAATCGTATCTATGTTTAAAATTGTACGTTTATGCCTGTCTACAACATATGCCTCCTCATGAAGCATCAATACTGATAAAAATAAAGAAAACTCATAATACTTCAGTACAATTAAGATATAAAAACCCCATATTGGTTAAAAATTATGAATTGTAAGAGTATGTAAGTTAGTTACGAACAATAAAAAAATGAGACTCCCTGAAATGTTACTGCTGTTAAACAAAAGAAACCTGATATAGTCTTCTCCAGTTGACAGCAGTACCAAAAATTTAGGTGGCATTAACAATGAGTTTTGAAATTAAAAGATAATTTTCTACACTGTCAGTAAAAATAATGATATTGAGAAAACTCGTAAGAAGACAGACAAAAATTTCTTTCTTTTTTCTGTATCGAAAATAATGCAATAATATTGTCAAAAAGATTTGTGCTAAAAACATGTGGTCAGACATGTAGATCTAGATAAAGAATAAAGCAATGGAGAAGCAATAAATCAAGTTAAATAAAATATTTTATTTTTTATTTTAATAAATCTAAAAAATAACTCTTTAATATAATTTTAGTACCAATTTATTTGATGATTGTATATGGATTAGTGGAAAGAATGGCAACAATTTCATGAGGGATGAGATGAAGAATTGGGTGTACTGTATTATAAGGTACCTTCACTACATGTGAAGTGGTAGTGATAGTACTTTTTGAAGGATGTATTTACATTAATAAATGTATATTGTAAACTCCAAAGCAACAATTAAAAATACTTTTTAAGGAAATATTAATGATACACTAAGAAAGGTGATAAAGTAAGAGCAAACAAAATGTTTGATTAAAATCAGAGAAGGATAAAAATGACAGGAAATAACCCAGTAATTGAAATGAATAAAGAAAAGTAACAAAGATAGTATATATTAATTCAACTAAGTGGATAATCATTTTATTTAAATGCCTTTAACACATCATTTAAAAGAAAAAAATTCAGAGTGAATTCAAAAGAAAAAAGATACAACAACATGTTGTCTACAAGAAATTCACTTTAAATATGAGGATTTGGTTATGTCAGAAGATAATTGATAGAGAAATATATACCACACTAACATCAAATGAAAGATACAGTAGCTACCTAAATTTCAGATGAAGTAGACTTTAGAACAAGGAATATTATCATGCATAAAGAGTGAAATAACATAAAGATGAAACGGTCAATTCTCCAAGCAAAGTGATAATTCTTTCTATTCCAAGAAAAAATAACATAAAAACTTCAAACATATATTTATGTAATAACAGAAGACCAAAATAATGAGCCAAAAACTTACAGAACTGCAAGGAGAAATAGAAAAAAATCATTATTATATCCGGACAGTTCAACACTCTCTATCAGTAATTGATAGATCAAAGGGAAGCACCTGAACAATGTCAGTCAACATGATCTAATTGCCACTTATAAAATACTCAATTCAGTAACAAAGGAATACTTATTATTCTCAAGTTTGCATGGAACTTTCTCAAAAATAGACCATATTATGACCATAAACCATAACTTCAAAAAATTTAAAAAAATCATACAATGCATATTCTCAGTCCACAGTAAAATTAAACAGAAATCAGTAAAAAGAACATAATTAGAAAATCTCCAGATATTTAGAAACCAATGACATATGTCTAAATAACACAAAGAAGAAATATTAAGAGTAATTATAGCCATATTCTGAATTAAGTGAAAATGTATACACACATTATGGAAATTTGCATACAGCAAATGTAGTGCTCAGAAGAAAACTGATGACCTTACATTTTATCAAATAAGAAATTTAAGCTTCTACCTTAACAAACTAGAAAAAGAAGAGAAAATTAAACCTGATAAATGAAAAAGAACAGTAATAACAAATATTGGACTAGAAATCAATGAAATTAGAAACAGGAAAATAATAGAGAATAACCAATGAACTTAAAAGCTGTCTCTAGGAAAATCAATAAAATTGATTAATATCTAGCCAGACTAAGCAAAAATCAGAAATGAAAGATGGGCTATAACTACTGATCTCATGAACATTAAAATTATAGTAAGACAAGAATATAAATAGTTCTTTGCCCATAATCATAACTTAGGTGAAATGGACCAATTCGTTAAAAACACAAAATATCAAAATCCATACATGTATTGTAAGCTGATTTTACTAATGGTGCAGAGACAAGTTAATGGAAAAGGATAGTCCTTGCTACAAATGACACCAAATAACTGGAAATCAACATACAAAAACTTGAACTAGATGCTGACCTTATGTGTTACAGAAAAATTGACTCAAAATAGATCACAAGCCTAAATGTGAAATACCAACCACTAAAAATTTCTTGATAATGTAGGAATATACCTGACTGTACATTTGGTAAGAGTTTGTATATGTAATACCAAAACATAACTCTTGAAAGAAAAAAAATTGATAAAATTGACTTCTTTAAAATTAAAAACCTGCACTACAAAGAACACTGTTATGAGAATGAATAGGCAAGCCATAGACTGGGAGGAAATATTTGCAAAATGCGTATCTGGTAAAGAACTTGCATCCAAAAATATACAAATAATTCATAAAATTAACAATGAGAAAAACAACCCGATTAAAAATAGGCAAAATGCCTGAACAGAGCTTTACCAAAGAAGATATAGATGGAAAATAAGTATATAAAAGATACCCCAAATCATTTGTCATAAGAGAAATGCAAATCAAAACAAGGAGACACCACCACACATCTATTAGAATGCATGAAATCCAAAAAACTAACAATACCAATTGATGGTGAGTATATGGAACAATAAGAATGCTCGTTCATTGTCAGTGGATATACATTATGGTACAGCCACTTTGGAAGAGAGTTGTGCAATCTTTTACAGGCTAAACATACTCTTCCCTTACAAACCAGTAATAGTGCTACTCATTTTCTGTGGTCAGTCTTCTTTGCAGGTCTGAAATTAAAGTGGCAGCTACTGCCACTGAACTGGAATTTCTAAATGCAATGGGGGTAATTAGATGCCAGGATGCCAACAGCTAAAGACAAGGTAGTTGTGGTTACTATGATAAATAGGAGAGTTAAAGCAGTAATCAGAGTAGCCTGACTGACAGAGACATATAGTATTGCCTAGTTGATATAGAATTTCAAGGAGGGGGAAAAGAAACAGATGAGCAGTCTACTAAATTCTTATTGTATCTGTATAAGTGAGA
>NW_025791783.1:0-39290 GCF_000001405.40 Homo sapiens | reverse complement strand
CCTAACCCTAACCTAACCCTAACCCTAACCCTAACCCTAACCCTAACCCTAACCCTAACCCTAACCCTAACCCTAACCCTAACCCTAACCCTAACCCTAACCCTAACCCTAACCCTAACCCTAACCTAACCCTACCCTAACCCTAACCCTAACCCTAACCCTAACCCTAACCCTAACCAACCCTAACCCTTACCCTAACCCTAACCCTAACCCTAACCCTTACCCTAACCCTAACCCTAACCCTAACCCTACCCTAACCCTAACCCGAACCCTAACCCTAACCCTAACCCTAACCCTAACCCTAACCCTAACCCTAACCCTAACCCTAACCCTAACCTAACCCTAACCCTAACCCTAACCTAACCCTAACCCTAACCCTAACCCTAACCCTAACCCTAACCCTAACCCTAACCCTAACCCTAACCCTAACCCTAACCCTAACCTAACCCTAACCCTAACCCTAACCCTAACCCTAACCCCTAACCCTAACCCTAACCCTAACCCTAACCTAACCCTAACCCTAACCCTAACCCTAACCCTAACCCTAACCCTAACCCTAACCCTAACCCTAACCCTAACCCTAACCCTAAACCCTAACCCTAACCTAACCCTAACCCTAACCCTAACCCTACCTAACCCTAACCCTAACCCTAACCCTAACCCTAACCTAACCCTAACCCTAACCCTAACCCTAACCCTAAACCTAACCCTAACCCTAACCTAACTAACCCTAACCCTAACCCTAACCCTAACCCTAACCCTAACCCTAACCCTAACCCTAACCTAACCCTAACTAACCCTAACCCTAACCCTAACCCTAACCCTAACCTAACCCTAACCCTAACCCTAACCTAACCTAACCCTAACCCTAACCCTAACCCTAACCCTAACCCTAACCCTAACCCTAACCCTAACCCTAACCCTAACCCTAACCCTAACCCTAACCCTAACCCTAACCCTAACCCTAACCCTAACCCTAACCCTAACCCTAACCTAACCCTAACCCTAACCCTAACCCTAACCCTACCTAACCCTAACCCTAACCCTAACCCTAACCTAACCCTAACCCTAACCCTAACCCTAACCCTAACCCTAACCTAACCCTAACCCTAACCCTAACCCTAACCCTAACCCTAACCCTAACCCTAACCCTAACCCTAACCCTAACCCTAACCCTAACCCTAACCTAACCCTAACCCTAACCCTAACCCTAACCCTAACCCTAACCCTAACCCTAACCCTAACCCTAACCCTAACCCTAACCCTAACCCTAACCCTAACCCTAACCCTAACCCTAACCCTAACCCTAACCCTAACCCTAACCCTAACCCTAACCCTAACCCTAACCCTAACCCTAACCCTAACCCTAACCCTAACCCTAACCCTAACCCTAACCCTAACCCTAACCTAACCCTAACCCTAACCCTAACCCTAACCCTAACCCTAACCCTAACCCTAACCCTAACCCTAACCCTAACCCTAACCCTAACCCTAACCCTAACCCTAACCCTAACCCTAACCCTAACCCTAACCCTAACCCTAACCCTAACCCTAACCCTAACCCTAACCCTAACCCTAACCCTAACCCTAACCCTAACCCTAACCCTAACCCTAACCCTAACCCTAACCCTAACCCTAACCCTAACCCTAACCCTAACCCTAACCCTAACCCTAACCCTAACCTAACCCTAACCCTAACCCTAACCCTAACCCTAACCCTAACCCTAACCCTAACCCTAACCCTAACCTAACCCTAACCCTAACCCTAACCCTAACCCTAACCCTAACCCTAACCCTAACCCTAACCCTAACCCTAACCCTAACCCTAACCCTAACCCTAACCCTAACCCTAACCCTAACCCTAACCCTAACCCTAACCCTAACCCTAACCCTAACCCTAACCCTAACCCTAACCCTAACCCTAACCCAACCCCAACCCCTAACCCTAACCCTAAAACCTAACCCTAACCCTAACCCTAACCCTAACCCTAACCCTAACCCTAACCTAACCCTAACCCTAACCCTAACCCTAACCCTAACCCTAACCTAACCCTAACCCTAACCCTAACCCTAACCCTAACCCTAACCCTAACCCTAACCCTAACCCTAACCCTAACCCTAACCCTAACCCTAACCCTAACCCTAACCCTAACCCTAACCCTAACCCTAACCCTAACCCTAACCCTAACCCTAACCTAACCCTAACCCTAACCCTAACCCTAACCCTAACCCTAACCCTAACCCTAACCCTAACCCTAACCCTAACCCTAACCCTAACCCTAACCCTGACCCTGACCCTGACCCTGACCCTGACCCTGACCCTGACCCTGACCCTGACCCTGACCCTGACCCTGACCCTGACCCTGACCCTGACCCTGACCCTGACCCTGACCCTGACCCTGACCCTGACCCTACCCCTAACCCCTGACCCTGACCCTGACCCTGACCCTGACCCTGACCCTGACCCTGACCCTGACCCTGACCCTGACCCTAACCCCTAACCCTGACCCTGACCCTAACCCTAACCCTAACCCCTAACCCTGACCCTGACCCTGACCCTGACCCTGACCCTCACCCTGACCCTGACCCTGACCCTCACCCTGACCCTCACCCTGACCCTGACCCTGACCCTCACCCTGACCCTCACCCTGACCCTCACCCTCACCCTCACCCTGACCCTGACCCTCACCCTCACCCTGACCCTGACCCTGACCCTCACCCTGACCCTGACCCTCACCCTGACCCTGACCCTCACCCTGACCCTGACCCTCACCCTGACCCTGACCCTCACCCTCACCCTGACCCTGACCCTCACCCTGACCCTGACCCTGACCCTGACCCTGACCCTCACCCTGACCCTGACCCTCACCCTCACCCTGACCCTGACCCTGACCCTGACCCTGACCCTCACCCTGACCCTGACCCTGACCCTGACCCTCACCCTGACCCTGACCCTCACCCTGACCCTGACCCTGACCCTGACCCTGACCCTGACCCTTAACCCTGACCCTGACCCTCACCCTGACCCTGACCCTGACCCTGACCCTGACCCCTAACCCTGACCCTGACCCCTAACCCTGACCCTGACCCTAACCCCTAACCCTGACCCTGACCCTGACCCTGACCCTGACCCTAACCTAAAACAACACACAAAGAAGGCCATTACATAATGGTAAAGGGATCAATTGATCAAGAAGAGCTAACTTTCCTAAATATATATGCACCCAATACAGGAGCACCCAGATTCATAAAGCAAGTCCTGAGTGACCTACAAAGAGACTTAGACTCCCACACAATAATAACGGGAGACTTTAACACCCCACTGTCAACATTAGACAGATCAGTGAGACAGAAAGTCAACAAGGATACTCAGGAATTTAACTCAGCTCTACACCAAGTGGACCTAATAGACATCTACAGAACTCTCCACCCCAAATCAACAGAATACACATTTTTTCAGCACCACACCTATTCCAAAATTGACCACATACTTGGAAGTAAAGTTCTCCTCAGCAAATGTAAAAGAGCAGAAATTATAACAAACTATCTCTCAGACCACAGTGCAATCAAACTAGAACTCAGGATTAAGAAACTCACTCAAAACCGCTCAACAACATGGAAACTGAACAACTTACTACTGAATGACTACTGGGTATATAACGAAATGAAGGCAGAATAAAGATGTTCTTTGAAACCAACGAGCACAAAAACACAACATACAAGAATCTCTGGGACACATTCAAAGCAGTGTGTAGAGGGAAATTTTTAGCACTAAATGCCCACAAGAGAAAGCAGGAAACATTTTAAATTGACACCCTAACATCACAATTAAAAGAACTAGAGAAGCAAGAGCAAACACATTCAAAAGCTAGCAGAAGGCAAGAAATAACTAAGATCAGAGCTGAACTGAAGGAAATAGAGACACAAAAAACCCTTCAAAAAATTAATGAATCCCAGAGCTGGTTTTTTGAAAAGATCAACAAAATTTATAGACGGCTAGCAAGACTAATAAATAAAAAAAGACAGAAGAATCAAATAGACGCAATAAAGGGGATATCACCACGGATCGCAAAGAAATACAAACTACCATCAGAGAATACTACAAACACCTCTATGCAAATAAACTAGAAAATCTAGATGAAACGGATAAATTCCTCGACACATACACTCTCCCTAGACTAAACCAGGAAGAAGTTGAATCTCTGAATAGACCAATAACAGGAGCTGAAATTGTGGCAATAATCAATAGCTTACCAACCAAAAAGAGTCCAGGACCAGATGGATTCACAGCCGAATTCTACCAGAGGTACAAGGAGGAACTGGTACCATTCCTTCTGAAACTATTCCAATCAATAGAAAAAGAGGGAATCCTCCCTAACTCATTTTAGGAGGCCAGCATCATCCTGATACCAAAGCTGGGCAGAGACACAACCAAAAAAGAGAATTTTAGACCAATATCCTTGATGAACATTGATGCAAAAATCCTCAATAAAATACTGGCAAATAGAATCCAGCAGCACATCATAAAGCTTATCCACCATGATCAAGTGGGCTTCATCCCTGGGATGCAAGGCTGGTTCAATATACGCAAATCAATAAATGTAATCCAGCATATAAACAGAACCAAAGACAAAAAAATTGGAAATCATCATTCTCAGTAAACTATCGCAAGAACAAAAAACCAAACACCGCATATTCTCACTCACAGGTGGGAATTGAACAATGAGAACACATGGACACAGGAAGGGGAACATCACACTCTGGGGACTGTTGTGGGGTAGGGGGAGGGGGGAGGGATAGCTTTGGGAGATATACCTAATGCTAGATGACGAGTTAGTGGGTGCAGCACACCAACATGGCACATGTATGCATATGTAACTAACCTGCACATTGTGCACACGTACCCTAAAACTTAAAGTATAATAATAATTTTAAAAAAGAAATTATCACAATAATAACAATAAAGGCCCTGTGTGTTATTTTATTATTTAAGTTGTTCATAACTTTAATGTAAATGAGGTAGAGTAATGAAGATCTGTAGACAAATCATGTCATTTATTTTTTTAATCTCAACAAAATATAACTTTTTTTTTCTTTTTTTTTTGAGACAGAATCTCACTCTGTCACCCAGGCTGAAATGCAGTGGCTAGATCTCGGCTCACTGCTACCTCCACCACCCTGGTTCAAGCGATTCCTCTGCCTCAGCCTCCCAAGTAACTGGGATTACAGGTTCCTGCCACCGTGCCTGACTAATTTTTGTATTTTTAGTAGAGACGGGGTTTCACCATCTTGACTAGGCTGGTCTTAAACTCCTGACCTCGTGATCCACCGGCCTCGGCCTCCCAAAGTGCTGGGATTACAGATGTGAGCAACCGTGCCCAGCCAACATTTCTTTTTTAAAGTGTGCAAGCTCTTTGACCATCATGTCTCTGTGCATCACTGCGATAAGATAACCAGAGCAACTGTTTCCACTGTGGAGTTGGGAGGAGATAAAGACACATCCTTTGTGCTTTGGGTGCTCTTATCAGGATCAGGGAGGTCCCTGCCCTCTGCTTTTATCTCTCTTAAATGTGCAAAGTACAGATTTTTATCATGAATAATTTTAAGAGAAATTAAAATTTCTATAATGTTCAAGGACATGCAGGTTTCCTATTGATCATGTTTCTTCTTGATAAATATTGTAACGTATTTAAAATATCTCATGTATTAAGAAATCATACTTAAGATGGGGCCAAGCTGGCCTATTAGAAGCAGCTGTGGCCTGCAGCTTTCACGGAGAGCAGTGAAAACTGCGAGTGAATTCTGCACCTTCAATTGAGGTATCCAGGTTCTTGCATTGGGACTGACTAGGCAGTCAGCTCGACCCACAGGGAGTGAGGAAAAGCAAATGGGGTGATGGCCCACCCAGGTGTGGCAAGAAGCTAAGGGAGCCCCCCACTCGCAGCCAAGGGGGGCGGTTAGGGATTGTGCGACTCTGCCCGGGAAACCATGCTTCTCCCAGGGATCTTTGCAACCTGCAGATCAGGAGGTCCCCTGGTGAGCTCAGCCATGGCCTTGGGTCTGAAGCAAAGAGCTGTGTAGAGTCTCGGCGGAGTGCTCGCTGGCTCACTGGGGCATGCGTGGAAACCCAGGAGTTTTGCATCCTCTGCCCCGAGAATTCCAGCAAATCGGGAGATAAATCCGTGCATTTCCCTAGGAAGGGGGCTGAATCCAGGGAGCCAAGTGACATCATTCTGAGGCCCCACTCCCACAGCACCTCACAAGACCCATTAGCTTGGAATTCCAGCTGGCCAGCGGCAGCAGGCTCGAGACAGCCGGAGATGGACCGAGTTCCCGGGGGAGGGCAGCCGCTCTATCTGTGGTTTGAGTTGGCTGCTCTAGCCTGCTGGCACTAGGGACCAGGAGGAATTCCCCATAACACAGCACAGCTGCTGAGCCTGATCGTGGCCAGGCTGCTTCTTTAAGTGAGACCAAAATCCATCCCTCCTCACTGGACAGGGCCTCCCCATCGGAATTTTAGCAACTCCAGCCAGAGTTCTATGGACAGAACTCTGATTTCTCCCTGGGATGAAGTCCCCAAGGAGAGGGGTAGCTGCTGTCTCCCCAGTTCAGCCGACTCAGCCTTCCCAGCCTGCTGGCTCTGGAGAATCCCGGAGATCAGTACAGCACTCCTGCTCTGCCAAAGGTCAGCAATGTCAAAGATCAAAGGTAGATAAGCCCACAAAGATGAGAAAGCATCAACACAAAAATGCTGAAAACTCAAAAAGGCAGAATGCCTCTTCTCATCTAAATGACAACACCTCCCCAGCAAGGGCACAGAACCGACCCAAGGCTGAGATGGCTGAATTGACAAAAGTAGGCTTTAGGAGGTGGGTAATAACAAACCTCACTGAGCTAAAGAAGCACATTCTAACTTAATGCAAGGAAGCTAAAAATCATAAAAGAAATTAGAGAAGCTGATAACCAGAATATTCAGTTTAGAGAGGAACATAACTGACCCGATAGACCTGAGAAACACAACACGAGAACTTCACAATGCAACCACAAGTATCACTAGCAGAATAGGCCAAGTGGAGGAAAGAATCTCAGAGCTTCAAAACCATCTGTCTAAGACAGGAAGAGAGAATAGAGAAAAAAGAACAGAGAAGAATAGAGAAAAAAGACCAAAAAAGAATGAACAAAACCTTCAAGACATATGGGATTATGTAAAAAGACTGAACCTAACACTGATAAGGGTACCTTGACCCACCACGATCAAGATGGCTTCATCCCTGGGATACAAGGTTGGTTCAACACAGGCAAATCTATAAATGTAATTCCTCACATACACAGAACTAAACACAAAAACAACACGATTATCTCAACAGATGCAGAAAAGGCCTTCAATAAAATTCAACATCGCTTCATGTCAAAAACTCTCAATAAACTAGCTATTGAAGGATCACACCTCAAAATAATAAGAGCCATATATGACAAACCCACAGCCAATATCATACTGAATGAGCAAAAGCTGGAAGCATTCCCCTTGAAAACAGGCACAAGACAAGGATGGCCTCTCTCACCACTCCTATTCAACATAGTACTGGAATCTCAGCCCAAAAGCTTCTTAAGCTGATGAATCACATCAACAGAATCTCAGGATACAAAATCAATGTGCAAAAATCGCTAGTATTCCTATACATCAACAACAGGCAAGTAGAGAGCCAAATCATGAATGAACTTCATTCACAATTGCTACAAAGAGAATAAAATACATAGGAATACAGCTAACAAGCGAAGTGAAGAACCTCTTCAAGGAGGACTACAAACCACTGCCCAGAGAAATCAGATAGGACACAAATAAATGGAGAAGCATTCCATGCTCATGGATAGGGAAGAATTAATTCATGAAAATGGCCGTACTGCCCAAAGTAATTTATAGAAGAATTCAATGCTATTCCCATTAAACTACCAATGACATTCTTCACAGAATTAGAAGAAACTATTTTACAATTCTCATGAAGCAAAAAAGAGCCCAAATAGCCAAGACAATTCTAAGCAAAAAGAACAAAGCTGGAGGCATCACACTACCCAACTTCAAACTATACTATAAGGCTACAGTAACCAAAACAGCATGGTACTGGTACAAAAACAGACACATAGACCAATGAAACAGAATACAGAACTCTGAAATAAGACCATACACATACAACCATCTGATCTTTGACAAACCTGACAAACACAAGCAATGGGAAAGGATTCCTTATTTAATAAATCATGTTGGGAAAACTGGCTAGCCATATGCAGAAAACTGAAACTGGACATCTTCCTTACACCTTATACAAAAAAAATAACTCAAGATGGAATAAAGACTTAAACATAAGACCTAAAACCATAAAAACCCTGGAAGAAACCTTGGCAATACCATTCAGGACATAGGCATGGGCAAAGACTTTATGACTAAAACACCAAAAGCAACGGCAACAGAAGCCAAAATTGACAAATGGGATCTAATTAAACTAAAGAGCTTCTGGACAGCAAAATAAACTCATCAGAGTGAACAGACAACCTACAGACTGGGAGAAAATTTTTGCAATCTGTCTGACAAAGGGCTAATATCCAGAATCTACAAAGAACTTAAACAAATTTACAAGAAAAAAACAACCCCATCAAAAAGTGGCCAAAGGAAAAGAACAGATGCTTCTCAAAAGAAGACATTTATGTGGCCAAAAAACATATTGAAAAAAGCTCATCATCACTGGTCATTAGATAAATGCAAATCAAAACCACAATGAGATACCATCTCACACCAGTTAGAATGGCCATTATTAAAAAGTCAGGAAACAACAGATGCTGACGAGGCTGTGGAGAAATAGGAATGCTTTTACACTGTTGGTAGGAGTGTAAATTAGTTGGTAGGAGTGTAAATCCCATTATGGGGTATATACCCAAAGCATTATAAATTATTATACTATAAAGACACATGCACTGTATGTTTATTTCAGCACTCTTCACAATAGCAAAGACTTGGAACCAACCCAAATTCCCATCAATGATAAACTGGATAAAGAAAATGTGGCGCATATACACCATGGAATACTACGAATTTATGTCCTTTCCAGGGACATGGATGAAGCTGGAAACCATCATTCTCAGCAAACTAACACAAGAAAAGAAAACCAGACCAGGAGCAGTGGCTCATGCCTGTAGTCTCAGAACTTTGGGAGGCCGAGGTGGGCAGATCATCTGAGGTGGGGAGCTTGAGACCAGCCTGACCAACATGGAGAAACCCCGTCTTTACTAAAAATACACACAATTAGCCAGGCATGTTGGCACATGCCTGTAATCCTAGCTACTTGGGAGGCTGAGGCAGGAGAGTCGCTTGAACCCGGGAGGCAGAGGTTGCGGTAACCCAAGATCATGCCATTGCACTCCAACCTGGGCAACAAGAGTGAAATTTTGTCTCAAAAAAAAAAAAAGAAAGAAAAAGAAGAAAAGAAAACCAAACACTGCATGTTCTCACTTATAAGTGGGAGTTGAGCAAAGAGAACACATGGACACAGGGAGGGGAACATCACACACTGGGGCCTGTCGGGGGGTGGGAGGCTGGGGGAGGAATAGCATTAGGAGAAATACCTAATGTAGATGACGGGTTGATGGGTGCAGCAAACACCATGGCACGTGTATACCTATGTAACAAACCTGCATGCTCTGCCCATGTATCCCAGAACTTAAAGTACAACAAAGAAAATGTCACATAAATGCATAAAGTCTAGAACAGCTAATAAATTATAATGAAATGTCAACTATAATTCCAGCTCAAAGAGAACACCATGAAACCGTCTGAAACCTGGGAGGCAAGACCAAGCCCAGACAACCCTTGCAGAGTGACCCTGAAGAAGACGACAAGCCCTGCTCCAGTCACACCCGGAAGCTGACTGGTCCACGCACGGCCGAAGCATGAGGAAGCTCATCGTGGGATTCATTTTTCTTAAATTTTGGACTTACACAGTAAGGGCTTCAATTGACCTTACTCAAACTGGGGACTGTTCCCAGAGTATTCATCAGGTCACCGAGGTAGGACAGCAAATTAAAACAAACTTTCTGTTCTATAGTTATTATGAATGTATGGGAACATTAAAAGAAACTTGTTTGTATAATGCCACTCAGTACAAGGTATGTAGCCCAGGAAATGACCGACCCGATGTGTGTTATAACCCATCTGAGCCCCCTGCAACCACCGTTTTTGAAATAAGATTAAGAACTGGCCTTTTCCTAGGTGACACAAGTAAAATAATAACTAGAACAGTAGAAAAAGGAAGCCCCAAACAAATAACTTTAAGATTTGATGCTCGTGCAGCCATTAATAGTAACAAGTTAGGAACACGATGTGGTTCTCTTAACTGGGAAAGGAGCTACAGAGTACAAAATAAATATGTTTGTCATGAGTCAGGGGTTTGTGAAAATTGTGCCTTTTGGCCATGTGTTATTTGGGCTACTTGGAAAAAGAACAAAAAGGACCCTGTTCATCTTCAGAAGGGGGAAGCCAACCCCTCCTGTGCTGCCGGTCACTGTAACCCACTAGAACTAATAATTACCAATCCCCTAGATCCTCCTTGGAAAAAGGGAGAATGTGTAACCCTGGGGATCGATGGGACAGGGTTAAACCCCCAAGTTGCCATTTTAGTTAGAGGGGAAGTCCACAAGCGCTCTCCCAAACCAGTGTTTCAAACCTTTTATGAGGAGCTGAATCTGCCAGCACCAGAACTTCCGAAAAAGACAAAAAATTTGTTTCTCCAATTAGCAGGAAATGTAGCTCATTCACTTAATGTTACATCTTATATATGCGGGGAAACCACTATCGGAGACCGATGGCCTTGGGAAGCCTGAGAGTTGGTGCCTACTGATCCAGCTCCTAATATAATTCCAGTTCAGAAGGCCCAAGTTAGCAACTTCTGGGTCCTAAAAACCTCAATTATTGGACAATACTGTATAGCTAGAGAAGGAAAAGAATTTATCATCCCTGTAGGAAAGCTTAATTGTATAGGACAGAAGTTGTACAACAGCACAACAAAGACAATTACTTGGTGGGGCCTAAACCACACTGAAAAGAACCCATTTAGTAAATTTTCTAAATTAAAAACTGCCTGGGCTCATCCAGAATCTCATCAGGACTGGGCAGCTCCCGCTGGCCTATACTGGAAATGTGGGCACAGAGCCTACATTCAGTTACCTAATAAGTGGGCAGGCAGTTGTGTTATTGGCACTATTAAGCCATCCCCATAAAAACGGGTGAGCTCCTAATTTTCCCTGTCTATGCCTCCCGAGAAAAGAGAGGCATAGTTATAGGAAAGATAATGAGTGGCCCCCTGAAAGGATCATACAGTATTATGGGCCTGCCACATGGGCACAAGACGGCTCATAGGGATACCGAACCCCCATCTACATGCTCAATCGGATCATATAGTTGCAGGCTGTCTTAGAAATAATTACTAATTAAACTGGCAGAGCTTTGACTGTTTTAGCTTGGCAGGAAACCCAAATGAGAAATGTTATCTATCAGAATAGACTGGCCTTGGACTACTTGCTCGCAGCTGAAGGAGGAGTTCATAGAAAATTTAACTTAACCAATTGCTGCCTACAAATAGATGATCAAGGACAGGTGGTTGAAAACATAGTCAGGGACATGACAAAGTTGGCAGATGTGCCTGTACAGGTTTGGCACGAGTTTGATCCTGAGTCTTTATTTGGAAAATGGTTTCCAGCTATAGGAGGATTTAAAACCCTCATTGTAGGTGTATTGCTAGTAATAGGAACTTCCTTACTGCTCCCCTGTGTATTACTCTTGCTTTTTCAAATGATAAAAAGTTTTGTTGCTACTTTGGTTCATCAAAAAACTTCAGCACATGTGTATTATATAAATCACTATCGCTCTATCTCACAAAGAGACCCAGAAAGTGAAGATGAGAGTGAGAACTCCCACTAAGAAGTGAAAATTCTCAAAGGGGGGAAATACAGAATGAGACCACCACTTCTCCTGTTGTCCTTCCCAGCTTCTCCCCAATCTCCCCTTTTCCCTAGTTTATAAGGCAGGAGAAAAGGGAGAAAGCAAAAAGTTGGAAAGAAACAGAGGATAAATAGCGAGACGACCTTGGCGCCACCACCTGGCCATGGTGGTTAAAATAATAATAATGTTAACCCCTGACCAAAACTACTGGTGTTATCTGTAAATTCCAGACACTGTATGAGAAAGCACTGTGAAACTTTTTGCTCTGTTAGCTGATGTATGTAGCCCCCAGTCACGTTCCTCACGCTTACTTGATCTATTATGACCCTTTCACGTGGACCCCTTAGAGTTGTAAACCCTTACAAGGGCTAGGAATTTATTTTTTGGAGAGCTCGGCTCTTAAGACATGAGTCTGCTGATGCTCCTGGCCGAATAAAAACCCTCTTCCTTCTTTAATCCGGTGTCTGACGAGTTTTGTCTGCGACTCGTCCTGCTACAGGGTGACAGTAAATGATGCCAAACCCATGAAAAACAGATGGACTTAGAGTTGGTAAATTTATCAAACGTAATGAAGAAAGTAAATGAAACTTTTTTATTTTCTTTTCTTTTTTGAGACGGAGTTTCACTCTTGTCACCCAGGCTGCAGTGCAATGGCGTGATCTCAGCTCACTGCAACCTCTGCCTACTGGGTTCAAGCCATTCTCCTGCCTCAGCCTCCCGAGTAGCTGGGATTACAGGCGTGCGCCACTACGCCTGGCTAAATATCGTATTTTTAGTAGAGACGGGGTTTCACCATGTTGGCAAGGCTGGTCTCAAACTTCTGGAAGTGATCTACCTGCCTAGGCCTCCCAAAGTGCTGGGATTACAGGTGTGAGCCATGGCGCCCTGCCTAAAAGTAGATGAAACCTTTTAAGATGTTGAAGAAAAATATGCAAGCTGCAAAATTATCTTGTAAAGCAACCAAGAAGAATACTTTAAAATCCTCTGTGAGGAAGCAGCTCTGCTCTAAGAATGCTTAAAGGAGAAAATCTAAGGTTGCCAAAAATCCACTTGTTAACTTGAGGTCATAGGATTTAAATAACATTTTAGAGAGCCAGATATCTCTGCACACATTACAAAATAATATGGGTAAGTATGAACAAGCTTCCAAGGGAAATGGAACCTGATGATAACCATGCTAAGATAAGAGAAGCCCTTAGTTGAGTTCTGCCAGGTTAAGGAAGGGTTTGAAATTAGAGGTGATGGAGGGATTATAGCAGAAGGCAAACAATGATGTTAGTGACAAACAGCTCTGCAAGCCGAATCTGAATCTATGACCCCAAACCCTAACTTCACCTAATTTCTAACCCTTAGACCATCATCCCTAACACCTAATCTCTAACACTAACCACATCACTGACCCAAAACTAACTCTAACCCAATCCTCTCACTCTAAAACCTCACCTTCACCCTCTAACCCTTACTCTAACCCCTAAGACTCACCCTAAACCCCCCATCACTCTCTAACCCTCTCCATCACCCTCACCCTAACCCAACCCCAACCTGATCCTCAAGTCAAACTGGGACACTTAGGCTGGACAGACCAAGAATGGGTGGTTTTAACAGGGCCCAATAGGGAACCCCTGGAGGAAGAACCATGGATACCCTAGCAAAGGAAAAAGGGGAAGATCTGCCCTAGCATCTCCTTTACTCAAGCACTCCAAACTCATAGAAAAAGATTTGAGGAGCAAAGAGCCAACCACCAATGGGGGATGCCGGAGGGGCAGCAAGGTGATAAGATCCAAAAGATAAGGACAGTCCTAGTCCAATCATCCCAAGTTCCTAGTGGACAGTTAGTTTATTGGCTCATTCTAATATGGAAGACCAAACATCAGACCCATGAGGCATCTCACAAGAGACAGGAGTATTAGAAGATTTAGCAAAAGCGTGTTTAGGTGAAATGTAAATGCAACAGTGTTTTCATGGGCACATAACAAGACAGGGCTGGGTAGTGGGGAAAAGACCTGGTCTGAATTGTGAAGTGAACCAGGCTTCTGTTTCCTTGAGATGCAGAGTTCTAAACCCCCTTACTTGAAGCTCTGCATCTGGGTTGTAAATCAAGGAATCTTTTTGAGATCAGACATTTCCTTCCTACTGATGATTTCTAACAGCAAAGTGGTTGTCCATGATTTTAATAAACAAGGATTCTCAGTGGGAAAACAGACACTCAATGGGGTCATTATGACACTTTAAATCTGCAGTGACCATGCAGGAAATCTGTTTCCTAAATCTGTTACCTCGGCCTGATGAATGATAGGGCAGAGCTTTCTCACACAAAGCTGATGTTTACTTTCCTGGAAGCCAGTTATGCTAAGATCTGGAGGAAGAATAATCCAGGCAAAAGGAAGAGCAAGGTTGAAGACCTTGAATTAAGTCCAGTTACCCCAGGAGCAGAGGGAGACAACATCAGAGAGGCCGTCAGGAGCATAAACATGTGCAGGCCTAGGCAGGGCCTTGTACATCAGCCTTCATATCATATCCTAGGTACAGTGAAGTCACTGAATCAGAAGACAGTGATCCAACATACATGAAGGGGCAGTCTGGCTAACACAGTAGGCAGGGTAAGAACAGTCATTAAGTAGAATGAGCAGCAGTGAGGATAAAGAAAACGTGAAATACTTGAGATTTATTTTGAAGACAGATCTGATATGCCAGTTGAAGTATTAAAAGTATATAAGTAATACCAGCACTTTGGGAGGCCAGGGTGGGTGGATAACCTGAGGCCAGGAGTTCAAGACCAGCCTGACCAACATGGAGAAACCCCATCTCTACTAAAAATACAAAATTAGCCGGGCATTGTGGTGCACACCTGTAATCCCAGCTACTCGGGAGGCTGAGGCAGGAGAATCGCTTGATCCCAGGAGGCAGAGGTTGCAGTGAGCCAAGATCACACCGTCACACTCCAGCCTGGGCAAGAAGAGCAAAGCTCCTCAAAAAAAAAAAAAAAGAAAAAAAAGTATGCAGTGCTGGGGAGACAGCAATTGAGGATGACACAGGCTTGCTGCCAAATCAACTAGACAGGCATGTAGGGTCCAGCCCCACAGGGTCGGTGGGTTTTCTCCCCGTGTGCAGAGACAAGAGATTGGAGAAATAAAGATACAACACAAAGAGATAAAAGAAAAGACAGCTGGGCCTGGGGGACCACTACCACCAAGATGCGGAGACCTGTAGTGGCCCTGAATGCCAGGCTGCGCTGATATTTATTGGATACAAGACAAAGGGGCAGAGTAAGGAGTGTGAGCCATCTCCAGTCATAAGTAAGGTCATGTGGCTTATGTGTCCACTGGACAGGGGGCCCTTCCTTGCCTGGCAGCCGAGGCAGAGAGAAAGAGGAGAGAGACAGCTTACGCCATTATTTCTGCATATCAGAGACTTTTAGTACTTTCACTAATTTTGCTACTGTTACCGAAAAGGCAGAGCCAGGTGTACAGGATGGAACATGACGGCAGACTAGGAGCATGACCACTGAAGCACAGCATCACAGGGAGATGGCTAGGCCTCCGGATAACTGCGGGTGGGCCTGACTGATGTCAGGCCCTCCACAAGAGGTGGAGGAGTAGAGTCTTCTCTAAACTCCCCCAGGGAAAGGGAGACTCCCTTTCCTGGTCGGCTAAGTAGTGGGTGTTTTTCCTTGACACTGATACTACCACTAGACCATGGTCCGCTTGGCAACGGGCATCTTCCCAGATGCTGGCGTTACCGTTAGACTAAGGAGCCCTCTGGTGGCCCTGTCTGGGCATAAGAGAAGGCTCACACTCTTGTCTTTTGGTCACTTTTCACTATGTCCCCTCAGCTCTTATCTCTGTATGGCCTGGTTTTCCCTAGGTTATGATTGTAGAGTGAGGATTATTATAATATTGGAATAAACAGTAATTGCTACAAACTAATGATTAATGATATTCATATATAATCATCTCTATGATCTATATCTAGTATAACTATTCTTATTTTATATATTTTATTATACTGGAACAGCTTGTGCCCTCGGTCTCTTGCCTCAGCACCTGGGTGGCTTGCCGCCCACATCTCCCCCCTTTTTATTAACTAGAATCGCCATCGCCACCATTGCTCGTCGGACTTCGGACTTGTTTTTGGACTTCTTGGAGGCATCTGCAGACTAAAAGGAGACAACATAAGCATACCAATATTAATAATGCCAGTGACAACAATGATCCTCCGAGGGGTTTGATCCATTTAAAGGGATTAAGATCAGATAGTTCTTTAGTTATTCCTTCAAAAATGTCTGAGCCAGAAACAGTGGATAAATGAGCTTGTGAAGCCTCGAAAATTTGCTCTTTAAATTTTGAAATATCCAAGGTTAAGTTATCATCCCAGGCTTTTAACTGTCTTGAGACCTTTTCCCAGCTATGCTGATCTTTATTACAAGCATAAGGCATTATGCAATAATCAGAAGTATTCCAATCACACTGTAATTGCATACAATGTTCCAAATTCGTAACTCTGTCTCCCAGCCAGATTACACTCTGGTGAACATCATTAATTTGATTAGCTAATTTTTGATCAATTTGAGCCTGAGAATTCCAAGGTCTGGAGGCATTTTTTTGCCATGCTTCAACATATTGAGTGGTTTGAACAGAATTGTGGATGGCAACTCCAGCGGTTGCCACTGTTGCAGTAACTGCAATTAGACCTGCAAGGACTGTAACAAGAGTAAAAATAAATCCCTTTGTTCTTTTGAGGATACCTTTAAGAACTTCATTGACTATGTGTATAGAGGGGGAAGACTCCCAAGGACGATGTAAAGAAACTGGTATCCATACCCCTCCCTAGCCCTTACCAAGAGAATACTTGTTGTGGGATTAAAAGTAGCATCAATGCACGTGAACAGCTTACACTTATCACATTCTGTAGTTTGTGTATTGGGAATGATAATTATATTTCCAACCAACAGCACGTAAGGGGGTTTGACACAGCTCCTGATGAGTATCATCTGTTCAGATATCAAGGTGATGTTGAATGTGGGTGTTTTGGTATTAGTGTGAAGGAGTTGATAGGTAGTGTTCCATATCCTTATTCCTGTCATAGCTGCAGCTAATTTCCATAATTCAGGATGTTCTGGGGTAACAAAGGGATGAATCATTTTTGGTCTAGGAAGAACAATGCCTGCAGCCATCCATTTAAATGGGTAAGGAGACACCCATTGTCTCAACCTGTATGACTGCCATCCATCATCTATATAATCTAACAAATAATTAAACTCCGAGCATGAGGTTTTTTTGCCAAAGCAATCTTGCCACTAATGCCCTTTTGGAGCCCAACCAATAACAATACCCGTGGCTAGACTTTGGAGCACAACAGCCTTGGGAGCATTACAATTATTCCATAAAATTGAAGTCACTATAAAAGGTCGCTTTGTAGGTTTCTTTGGTCAGTCTGGCAGTCCTTTTATTAATTTTAGTAGTGACAGGAACTCTCCATTCCTCAGGTGGATTAAGTTTGACAGTGAGAACTTGAAAAGAATTGGTATTGAACACATTATATACTCGATAAGAATCATTTGTAAAGGACGGTACGGTCCACATCCAATTCTGGTAAGAATAAGCTAAACAGCCAGAAGACATCCCAATGCATAGTGGTGGATATTTATAGCCAATTGACAGATTAAAGTGCATACTTTCATCTTCCGGTTGAGCTGGAAACCTATCATCATTAGGGACTGGGATGAATGCACTATTATTAGTGTAAACTTCTACTGGGGAGTCCATCCAGGAGACAGACCAAATTAAAGGGGGAAAAGGAACATATGCCCAGTAAGTATAATTTTGAGTTGCCCCAACCGGTGGTATACTTATGGCTGCACTGACTACCATAAAGGCAGCCAGAATTATATTACCTGTTGTTTCTGGGATTCCTTTTTCTTTTAATAAATTTTCTGTTTGATGAGACAAAACTTTTATTTGACCCCATGTTGGTGGAGTTTAATGAGAGGTGTTATATGTCACATGGCGAGATCTTGTCTCAATGTCGAGGTCATGAAGTTTATGTGTCAGGCAGCAAAAGTTGCTCTTTGGTTTGAGGAGTCTTTGCCTTTTGTTTCCGGGAGCGTTTCATCTTTGGAGTTATGGTACAATTTTAATTGTCGGGAGGGGACCCACATGGGCTGTAGTCCTTTTCCTGGGGAAACACAAGCAAAACCCCTACCCCATGTTACAACTGTGCCTAAGTCCCATTGTTAGTTTTTGAATATTTTCACCATACCCGCATTCCTTTTTGTGGATCAAATTTATTTCCAGTGAAATATTGTTCTGCTGTGGAAAAAGGTTGATTTCTTGCTATGTTTAAGAAATTTAGGGTAAAAAGAGCCAGATTTAATTGAGCATGAGGAGTAGCAGCATCCCTCTTTGTTTTAGTGTCCTGTTTTCAAAGTTGATTTTTGAGTGTTTTATTGGCTCATTCCACCAAGGCCTGTCCTTGAGAGTTACAGGGGATGCCAGTTGTGTGAGTAATTGCCCATGTTTGAGTGAACTTTTTAAAAGCAGCACCAGTGTAGCCGGGGCCGTTATCAGTTTTCAGTTTCTCAGGACAGCCCATAACCGAGAAACATGAAAGCACATGTCGTTTACCATGAGCTGTACTTTCCCCTGGGTGACAAGTGGCCCAGATAAAATGAGAAAAAGTGTCGATAGTTACATGTATAAAAGAGAGCTTGCCAAAAGCAGGATAATGAGTCACGTCCATTTGCCAGAGAGGGTTCTGTGAAAGTCCTCTAGGGTTAACTCCTGAAGACAGTGGCTGTAAAATTAACACTTGGCAAGTAGGACAGTGGCGCACAATGGTTTTAGCTTGTTTCCATGTGGGGGAACTTTTTTTGGAGTCCCACAGCATTGACGTGAGTTAAGGCATGAAAATTTTCTGCATCTGTAAAAACGGGAGTATCAGCTCAGGCATTTGCTGCCGAGAGGGGTCCAGGGAGGGATGTGTGGGCCCGAATGTGAGTAATGTAGAAAGGAGAAGACCTTGCTCTGATCACAGACTGAAACCTTTGAAAAAGAATGAGTAGGTTATCATCAGGAAGAAATTTGATCAAGGCAGTTTCAATGTTGCCAGCAACATGTACTACATAAGCTGAGTCAGAGACAATGTTAACTGTTTTAGGGATATCTTCAAGGACAGCCATAAAGCAAGCAGCTCAGCTCGTTGTGCTGAAATAGCCCCTGTGCTAAGAACACGTTCTCTTGACCCTGTATATGCTGCTCGGCCATTACAGGAAGCATCAGAAAAAACAGTGACAGCTTCAGCTAATGGGGTGTTTCTAGTAATGTTAGGAAAAATCCAAGAAGTGAGTTTAAGGAACTGAAATAATTTCGCATTAGGATAATGATTATCAATTATACCCGAGAAACCTGCCAAATGTACTTGCCAAGTGATGCAAGTAGCAAAAGCCTGTTCAACTTGTAACTGGGTAAGGGGAACAATGATTTTTTGGGGCTCTGTACCCAAAAGACGAAGGACACGAGAATGAGCCTGACCAATTAAGATAGAAATTTGATCTAGGTAAATAGTTAGTGTCCATAAAGAGCTGTGTGGAAGAAAACACCATTCAATTAAATTATGTCCCTGAATAATGAGTCCTGTTGGTGAATGTTAAGTAGGAACATTACTGCCCCCTGCCACCACAGGATCAGCGTCAGTAGATCTCTGTTGCACCAGAGATATTTCTCTGCTGCCTGGAGAGCCACCTATTGCTGTTCCCACAGGTGTTTTTGGTCCCTTGCCGACTGGCAGTGTCGGTTTGCTACTGGGTCGTTTGCTACTGGGTTAAGTAGGAAAATTTATTAAAAGAAAAAGAAATTCCAGAAACGACGGGTAATATAATTCTGGCTGCCTTTATGGTAGTCAGTGCAGCCGTAAGTATACCACCAGTTGGGGCAACTCAAAATTATACTTACTGGGCATATGTTCCTTTTCCCCCTTTAATTCGGTCTGTCTCCTGGATGGACTCCCCAGTAGAAGTTTACACTATCTATCAACATTTCAAAAGGTAAATGTGGATTCACTCTGGTAACCTGAGACTGTTGAATGCATTTTTCTATAAATTGTAATTCAGAATCTGCCTCAGGAGTCAAGGACCTTTTGCTGCATAAATCAGGATTGCCCCACAACGTTGCAAAAAGATTAGACATAGCATAAGTAGGAATGCCTAAGGAGGGAGGAATCCGATTAATGTCTCCTAGTAATTTTTGGAAATCATTTAGAGTTTTTAGGGAGTCTCATCTGAGTTGAACTTTTTGAGGCTTAATGACCTTGTCCTCTAGCTGCATTCCTAGTGATAAGGGTAAGAAGTCTGAATTTTTTTGGAGCGATAACCAAGCCAGCTGCTGTAACTGCTTGTTGTAATGCAGAAAACCAAGATATTAATACAGAGCATGAAGGTGCTGCACAAAGAATATCATCTGTGTAATGAATAACATAACATTGGGGAAATTAATCTCTTACTGGCTTTAATATGCATCCCACATAATATTGACAAATAGTAGGGCTATTAAGCATACCTTGAGGTAGGACTTTCCAATGGTAACGTGCTGCAGGAGTGATGTTGTTAAGGGCTGGAACAACGAAGCAAATTTTTCAAAGTCCTGAGGGGCCACAGGAATGGTAAAGAAGCAATCTTTAAGGTCAATGATGATAAGTGGCCAATACTCAGGAATCATAGTGGGGGAGGGCAAACTGGGTTGTAATGTTCCCATAGGCTGACGGACAGCATTTACCACCTTAAGATCAGTAAGCATTCGCCACTTACCAGATTTCTTTGGGATAACAAAGACAGGTGAATACCAGGGAGAAAAAGAGGATTCGATGTGTCCCAATTTTAACTGTTCAAGAACCAAAATATGAAGTGCCTCCAGCTTATTTTTTGGGAACGGCCACTGATCTACCCAGACCGGTTTCTGAGTTTTCCAGGTCAAAGGGATGGGATCTGCAGGCTTGATAGTGACCGCTTCTAAAAAGAATAACCAAGTCCTGTAGTCTGATTCATCAGTAGGTATAATAGGCTCGGTGATGCCTTGTGCTAATTTTCCTAAGCCCATACCTTGAACAAATCCCATTTTGGTCATAACATCTTTACTCTGCTGGCTGTCATTGCCTTCCGGAAAAGAAATCTGTGCCCCCCACTGATATAAAAGATCTCTTTCCCATAGGTTAACAGGAATGCGTGTAATGAGGGGGCAAATAGTTCCAATAGTTCCAATATTTCCAATAGAAATATCTCTGGTACAACAGAGATCTACTGCTGCTGATCCTGTGGTGGCAGGGTCCTTCAGGGCTTGTGCAATGTAAAATTGTGGAACTTTCATATACTTCTGAAGCCTGACCAACACCAACTAATCCTGTGGACGCATGCTTCTCTGGCCAATGTCGGGGCCATTGATGTAAAGCGATAATAGAAACATCAGCGCCCCTATCAATGATTCCCTCAAACTTTCTCTCCTGAATATGCACGGGGCACACAGGATGAGTGTCAGAAATTTTGCTGGCCCAATAAGCTGCTTTACCTTGATAATCTGTGCTACCAAAACCTCCGTTTCTCGTACAAGAACTGGATCCTAAAGGAATGTAAGGAAGTATCAGAAGTTGAGCAATGCAGTCCCCAGCTGCCACATTCCAAGGGACTGTAGAGCTAATGACAATATGAATTTCACCTGAATATTCAGAATCAATTACACCAGTATGTACTTGAACACCTTTTAAGTTTAGACTTGAATGACCCAGTAGCAAACCGACACTGCCAGTCGGCAAGGGACCAAAAACACCAGTGGGAACAGCAATACGTGGCTCTCCAGGCAACAAAGAAATATCTCTGGTACAACAGAGATCCACTGCCGCTGATCCTGTGGTGGTGGGGGACAAGCATTGTACTGAGATTCGTGCTGGGGCTAAGCCGTTAGATCTTGTGGCACAAATTGCTGAAGTGGGAATCAGGATGGAGGTTGAATGGATTGGACTGGGAAGGCTCCCGTCTGGCTGGACGCTGGGGGCTGGGAGCTGAGGAGTGCCTCATTGTTTAGAGGGGCCTGGGTCCGGCCCCTCATCCTGTTTTCCTGGATGTTAAGAGGCTGTAAAGGATAACCATCAATATCAAATCTTGAATGACAGTGAGTGGCCCAGTGAATTCCCTTTCGGAATGATGGGCATAAAGTAGAAGCTGGGACTTTTGGTTGCTGAAAAATTTTTTGTTGTTGGTGGTGTTGTAAAGAACGGCGACCTGTACGCCGGGGGGAATTTCTTTTTATATGTCCTTTCTGGCCGCATATAAAGCATTGGCCAGAGAATTGTCCAGGCATTCTAATAGAGGCCATAGCTCATGCCATGATCATTGCTGTATGCAGAGTTCCTCCCACCCCTTCACAGGCTTTAATGTAGGAGGTGAGTATTTCACCACCTGGTGGAATTTTGCCTTTGACGGGAAGAAAAGCCGCCTGACAATCTGGATTTGCTTGTTCATAAGCCATGAGTTCTACAAGTCATTGGCCATGGCTATCAGGGATAGCCTTTTCTGCTGTGTCCTGGAGATGAGCAATAAAGTCTGAGTAGGGTTCATGTTGTCCCTGTCTGATGGCCATGAAAGATGGGCATACTTTACCATCATCTTGAATCTTGTCCTAAGCATTTAAGCAACATTTCCGCAATTGTTCAATAATCTCATCATTTAGTATAGTTTGGTGTCGAATTGCAGCCCACAGACCCACTCCCAGTAACTGGTCAGCCGTAACATTAGCAGGAGGATTAGAACCCTGATTAAGACAAATGCATTACTGGACAGCATCAACCCACCAAGTCCTGAATTGTAAATACTGGGACTTAGGTAAGACTGACTTTGCTAAAATTTCCCAGTCATAGGGAACCAAACATTCACCTTCTGCCAGGGCTTTTAATGTGGAAATGACAAAAGGAGAGTTGGTGCCATATTGTTCTACTGATTCCTTGAACTCTTTGAGAAATTTAAAAGAAAAACTTTCGCAAGTAGCAGGGTATAGCTGAACTTGACCTGGATGTATGGGGTCAGGTTGAACTACCACCTGAAGAGCTGGAATGCCAGATACAGGCTGTGCCCCAGCGGCAGGCAATTGCGGAGCCTCATTATTACTCTGAGCAGCCTGTCGGGCTGAAGGGCATGATTATCAGCGTCTTGATCTTGATAAGCAGCGGGGTCAGCCGCCTGCTGAGCAGGATCAACAATGGGCTGTGGGTGATTTTGTGCTGCTGGGGTGGCAGGTAGTGTACGTTGTAAAACTACAGGAAATTGCCAGGCTTCAGGATCCCTGTATTCCCTTGCCTGAGCTATATCCCTCATAAGTGGAGTGTCATTTTCAAAGATACATGTAACTTGTTGTTTTTGCGAGGCAATGGTAGTGTTGGCAACAGCAATAGCGACTGGACAAGGAGCAGAAAAAAAGTGGGAATTTTGAATAGAGGGAGAGTTGAGAACCTGAAAGCCAGGATGAGAAGAGATTACCTGCTAAGCAGGTCTTTCATGGGCCTGAAAGCCAGGTTACCATGGCAACTATGGACCAGGCTTCAAGGAAGTCTGTGACTGTAGCTGAGCCCAAGTAGGAGGAAAGGAACCAGGCTTCAAGGGAGCCTGTGACTCCAGCCGAGTCTCATTAGGAGGAAAGAAAACAGGACTCAAGAGAGCCTGCAACTCTAGCCCTGTCTGATTAGGAGGAAAGGAAACTGGCTTCAAGGGAGCCTGTGACTCTAGACTAGTCTGATTAGAAGGAAAGGAACCAGGCCTCAAGGGAGCCTGTGACTCTTGTTGAGTCTGAGTAGCAGGAAACGAACCACGCCTTGAAGGAGCCTGTGACTCTAAACAAGTCTGATTAGGAGGAAAGCAACCAGGATTCAAAGCAGCCTGTGACTCTACCTGAGTCTGATTATGAGGAAAAGAACCTGGCTTCAAGGGAGCCTGTGACTCTAACTGAGTCTCAGTAGTAGGAAAGGAACAGTGCCTCAAGGGAGCCTGTGACTCTAACCGAGTCTCATTAGGAGGAAAGGAACCAGGCCTCAAGAGAGCCTGTGACTTTAACAGAGCCTGTGATTCTAACCGAGTCTGAGTAGAAGGAAAGGAACCAGGCCTCAAGGGAGCCTGTGACTCTAACCCAGTCTGATTAGGAGAAAAGGAACCAGGCCTCAAGGGATCCTGTGACTCTAATGGAGACTGATTAGGAGGAAAGGAACCAGGACTCAAGGGAACCTGTGTCTCTGAGTCTGAGTAGGAGGAAAGGAACAGCACCTCAAGGGAGCATGTGACTCTAACTGAGTCTGATTAGGAGGAATCAGGCCTCAAGGGAGCCTGTGACTTTAATGGAGCCTGTGACTCTGAGTCTGACTAGGAGGAAAGGAACCAGGACTCAAGGGAGCCTGTGGCTCTAGCCGAGTCTGTGTAGGAGGAAAGGAACCAGGCCTCAAGGGAGCCTGTGACTCTAACCGAATTTGAATAGTAGGAAAGGAACCACGCCTCAAGGGAGCATGTGACTCTAACTGAGTCTGAATAGGAGGAAAGCAGCCAGGCTTCAAGGGAGCCTGTGACTCTACCCACGTCTGATTAGGAGAAAGAGAACCTGGCTTCAAGGGAGCCTGTGATTCTAGCCAAGTCTGATTAGGAGGAAAGGAACCAGGCTTCAAGGCAGCCTGTGACTCTTGCCGAGTCTGAGTAGGAGGAAAAGAACCAGGTCTCAAGGGAGCCTATGACTCTAAGCGAGTCTGATTAGGAGTAAAGGAACCAGGCCTGAAGGGAGCCTGTGGTTCTACCGGAGTCTGATTGGGGGGAAAAGACCAGGCATGAGAAAACCAGGCTGTGGAGGGATATCGTTGCGGGCCTCATTACCTGGCCGAGAATTGAAAGCCTCCTCTCCGGGCTGTTCAGGTATCAGAGCCTCTGTACCGGGCTGCATGGAAACAATTTATAGCCTCGTTTTCAGGCTGCCTGATCTCATCCTCTGTCTGCAGGGTGGCAGCGTTGACAGGGTGAGGAGAAGCAGGGGGGTGCGTCCACAATGGTTGTTGGCATGTTTCAGCTGAGTTTTGCTGGTTGGGGGAAATAAGTTCATTCGGGTCAGTTAAAAGATCATCATAAAGCGACAACGGGGGTGCGGTAGCCTCTTGCATACGTGGTGGCGGCACAGGCATGTCAGAGTGGAATTCCGCCTGTGAAATTATGGTCTCAATTTGTGCAGTATCCTCAGGGGAAAGAGAAGTGAGAAATTCCTCGCCCTCCTCAGGGAGAGGAAAGAGGGATCAGTCTCCATGCTGTCCTGAGTCTGTAAGGAGTCTAGGACAGAGCGAACCGAAGCCCAGATTGACCAAATGGTGGGTGGAATAAAATGTCCCCCTTTATGAGCAATTTTGAATTGTTGGCCGATCTCATCCCAATCTTTAAGTTCTCAAGTTCCCTCAGTCGGAAACCAAGGGCAAAGAAGATTTACAACCGCAAATAGTTCAATTAACTTTTCAGTAGAAACTTAAACCCCTCCTTCTTTAAGAAGAGTTTTTATAAAATTTAAATAAGCTGAGTACTTAGTACTGGCTTGTACCATGGTGTCCCCAGAATACTCTGAGTGCTCAAGCTTACCACCAAGCTTACTAACAGCAATCCTCAGGAATCTCTTGTCAAAATCCTCCGCTGAATCCCGCACTCAGAGTGCAACCTCACACAGCGAGGGAGAGCCCCACATCAGAGCGCCAGATGTAGGGTCCAGCCCCACAGGGTCAGTGGGTTTTCTCCCCATGTGCAGAGATGAGAGATTGTAGAAATAAAGACACAAGACAAAGAGATAAAAGAAAAGACACCTGGGCCTGGGGGACCACTACCACCAAGACGCGGAGACCAGTAGTGGCCCCAAATGCCAGGCTGCACTGATATTTATTGGATATAAGACAAAGGGGCAGGGTAAGGAATGTGAACCATCTCCAATAATAGGTAAGGTCACATGGGTCATGTGTCCACTGGACAGGGGGCCCTTCCCTGCCTGGCAGCAGAGGCAGAGAGAGAGAGAAGAGAGAGAGACAGCTTATGCCATTATTTCTGCATATCAGACATTTAGTACTTTCACTAATTTGCTCCTGCTATCTAAAAGGCAGAGCCAGGTATACAGGATGGAACATGAAAGCGGACTAGGAGCGTGACCACTGAAGCACAGCATCACAGGGAGACAGGCCTCTGGATAACTGCGGGCGGGCCTGACTGATGTCAGGCCCTCCACAAGAGGTGGAGGAGTAGTCTTCTCTAAACTCCCCCGGGGAAAGGGAGGCTCCTTTTCCCAGTCTGCTAAGTAGTGGGTGTTTTTCCTTGACACTGATGCTACTGCTAGACCATGGTCCACTTTGCAACAGGCATCTTCCCAGACACTGGTGTTACTGCTAGACCAAGCCCTCTGGTGGCCCTGTCCGGGCATAAGAGAAGGCTCACACTCTTGTCTTCTGGCCACTTCGCACTATGTCCCCTCGGCTCCTATCTCTGTATGGCCTGGTTTTTCCTAGGTTATGATTGTAGAGTGAGGATTATTATAATATTGGAATAAAGAGTAATTGCTATAAACTAATGATTAATGATACTCACATATAATCATGTCTATGATCTAGATCTAGTATAACTCTTCTTATTTTATATATTTTATTATACTGGAACAGCTCGTGCCCTCAGTCTCTTTCCTCGGCACCTGGGTGGCTTGCCACCCACATAGGCAGTCATGCCATTCACTGAAAAGCAGAAGCCAAAGGAAAACCGGAGCCTAATCAAGTGTTTTAAACACATCAGGTTTGAAATGCCTATGAAGCACCCAAGTGGAAATGCTGAGTAGGCAGCTGGGCTCCAGGTATCAATCTAGTCTGGGAACTGAGTTTGGAAGATACCAGCAAACATCAAGCCACCAATGAGGATTAGGTCACCTGGAGATTCCCAATTCCATGGAACAGAGGGCCTGAGACTGAATGGCCAACATTTAGACAAGAAGTCTGCCAAGGCTCAATCCAGGTCTCAGGCCAGAACTGTTAGCGCAAGAAGCTCCTTGCTCCTAAGAACAGAGCCTGGCCTGGTAGGTGCCATGCTGGTTCCCTGAGGATGATACCTGCTCAGGAATGAAGGCAACATGCACAAAGGTACCAGGTGAGGGACTGGACCCAGGGATACCACACCCCTGCATCTTCTGTACTTCCTCTAACATAGGTGGTCAGCATACTCTTTCACTCCTTATCCAATTTTATCAAAAATAGAGATTAGGGCAATATGACATAACAGCATTAAGCACTAAACCATTTGACAGGGATTCCTTTCAAAAGTGAAAACCAGTGTACGATTATACAGCTTCTCCACTAATCTTTGTTACCAACAGCCACTTAATCTAATCCTAAAGACTGAGTACAATATTCCTTCTACAATACTTTGAACACTCACTTCAATTTATTGCATATTTTCTAAATGCACCTCTCTCTCTCTTCTGAAAGAGAGAACATTTCATCAGAAAACGAACGGGGTCTTTTGCCTATCTGATGGTCTCACACCTTCACAACAGCTACAAATCCTTGGACCAGCCAGGGACAGACCAACTCCAGGGTTCTCTGACAACAGAAGTCCTGGAAAGGCTCTGCACTCAAAACAAACCCCTACACCACCCCAAGGGAGGGGGATTGTTTCAGGTTCGGGGAGACGCTAAAAGAAATTGAACCTAAACTCTTCATCAGGCATGTCCAGAGTGGCTTTGGCTCTCCATATAGAGCGAGGCCTGCAGACCCTTTGGCTCTTCTTTCTGGTGGCTCCATCTACAGGTTGCACCTGGGCTGAATAAGCAGCTGTCGGGGAGAGAAGCAGCGTATGTCAGAACTGAATAATAACAATTAACATTACCTGTACAGTTATGTTTGCCCATACAATTCTAACCACCTTGCATAAATTAACTGATTAATTCCTCAAATTTGTAAGGTTGATATTACTATCATCCCCCACTTAGAGAGGTTCAGTAGTTTGCAAAAGGTGTTAGTACTACTATGTGGTAGATCCAGGATTTGAACCTAGCTGATCTGGCCCCAGGAATTGCACTCAAACTGTTATGGGATATGGCTTCATTGCTAGTAGAGAAAGCCAAGACACAAAGACATGAGGCAGCTTTCCCCAACCCAGGAGCAGGACCAACATAGGACCATGCTCTTTCCCACTCCTCCCAGGGCCTCCCCGCTGCTTCCCAGGTTCAGTCCTAGGAAGAGGAAAGAGAGGTCCACGCTTTCTGTTTCCCTGCTCCCTCAGGCTTCCCTGAGCCCATCTCCTTCCCCCACCAGGCTTGTTGCTCTGGGCCTTCTTCCTTTCACCCCCTAGACACTTCCTCCTTAAGTTAGGCCTTCCTGAATCAACCAGTGGCTAGCTCCTCACCAGCTCTGAGAGCCCGCAGGGCCTCACGCCATTCGGCTTCCATCTGAGCCCTATAGTCTCCAAACAAGGAGTGCATCAGCTGCCTCTTCCGGGGCAAGGGCGTTCTTTTGCTGCGCAGGGTTCGGATTGCTCCAATAGCCTGCTCTTCTGCGAATAAAAATAAAGGACTAGTGAACACCTCTATTACTGACCTCCTACCACCCCGCCGCAAAGCCAACAACTCCATACTCTGCCAGCACCTGCAGGCCAGGCAGTGCCACTGTTCACATCCCCCAGCTCTACAGAAGGGTCCCTTACTCTGTTTCGGGGTGGGTTTCTGCCTCTTGAGGCCCAGCTCCAGTTGCTCCACACACCAAGCCAATTCCTGGGCCAACTGTTGTGCCTGTGATGGATTTGGGGAAGTGGCTGTGAGAGGGCACTGGAAAACCATAGCCGCCGGCCCCATCCCATGCCCCTCCCCGCCTTAACTCCGCGGACCCCAGATCACACGTGCCCGTGGATTCGCACCCGTGGATTCCACCCTTCCCGACCGAAGCCCGCCCTTGCCTGGGCCTCAGCGCTTAGGGGAACTTCTTCTGGGGCGAGTTTCTCTGAGGCCTTCTCGCCTCCATTTGCCACAGAGGCCCTGTTCCGCGTTTTCTTCTTATTCTTTTGTTTTTTCGACGCTGTGCCGCCTTCATCGCCCAACGGGTGCGCTCTGGAGTCAGCGTTACTGCACGTAGGTTGCTCTGGGCAGAGACAGACAGTGGAAGGATTCCGGGCGCTGGAAACTGGGCCGGGAAGCCGGGCTCCGCGGGACGCGCAGGGAGTACCCGGGCCTGGGGCCGCCGCTGCCTCCCCAGCAAGATGTCCCAGGGCCTGGAGAAAGGGGGGTAGCACGAGGGTCACCGAGAGCCGCCAACAATGCAAGGCCCAGCCACCCGCGCGTCTTCTCCACACCGCTCACCGCCATGCGCCGCAGTCGCCACCGGAACTACGCGGGGCGCAGAGTCCGACGCCGAATTCCGTCCTTCAAGAACGCGCCTGCGACTCTAGGTTCCGCGGGGCGCGGGCGGGGCGCGGGCGGGGCGCGGGCGGGGCGCGGGCGGGGCGCGGGCGGGGCGCGGGCGGGGCGCGGGCGGGGCGCGGGCGGGGCGCGGGCGGGGCGCGGGCGGGGCGGGGCGCGGGCGGGGCGCGGGCGGGGCGGGGAGCGGGCGGGGCGGGGCGCGGCTGGGGTGGGATGAAGCTGGGACGGGGCGAAGCTGGGACGCGCCTGGGACGAAGCTGAGATGGGGCTGGGGCGGGGCCTGGGGGTTCGGGGAAGAGGCTGAAGAGGGGTCTCGGAAGAACCCTTGTGAGCGAGTGATCGCGGGCGCTGACTACGTGCCCGGCACCTTTCCGGATAAAAGTTCAAAGCTCTCCACGAGGGTGTGTCTTCTCAAGGCTCACCTTTTGGTGGGGAGGGAAAAGCAAGTAAACAGCACGTGAGCAGCTACGGCGCAAGAGGGTGGTCGGCAAAGACCCTGGGAAATGGGGAAGAGCGAGGGTCAGGGCGCGGTCGTTTGAGAGGCCGGCGTCTCGGGACGTGGAGGCTCGGGTGAGGTCTGAGAGTTGGGAGGGCCCCCGTCATGGGCTTACTTCCGTTCTAACGCAGTGGGAAGTCGCTGCAAGATGTAAATCTGAAGAGTGGCATAATCGTAGACGTATGTTCTGCAGATCTCTCTGCTCTTGTGTAACGAGTGGGGCACATGGGGTGGAGGGACGTGGAGGGGTTTCAGAAGCAGACGCGGGAAGAGCCTTGGACAGGATATGGACGTGAGGGAGGGTGGCGGTATGGGGGAGAGGGAGAGCCCCATCCCACCACCTCTCTTCCCCTGGATGCTTCCCTCCCACTATACCTTGCTAGAGACCTGGGGTCACACACAACACTCGACCCCCGCCGATGGAGGCATGACAACCGAGAGGAATTGCGTAGGGGTTGAGGTGAGGCTGAGTAGGGTTTCAGGGGGGCAACGGGCTATGCCAGGAGGGTGGGTTGTGTTGCTTGAGAAGGTAAGAGTCCGAGATGTCTGATGATTCCTTTCGGGGACACAGGAGTGGAAAGCGGTGTTTCCTGAGACGGTGGGGTGGGAAGTGTTAGCTGCCTGGTCTGCAAGGTCTCGAAGGGTTACAGTTTGGTCATCACTGATAGTTATTTACTGCAGTGTGATACATTACTCCCAAAATTCGGCGGATTGGCCGGGCGCGGTGACTCACGCCTGTAATCCCAACACTTTGGGAGGCCGATGCGGGCGGATCACGAGGTTAGGAGTTTGAGACCATCCTGGCTAACATAGTGAAACCCCGTCTCTACTAAAAAATACCAAAAAATTAGCCGGGCATAGTGGCGGGCACTTGTAGTCCCAGCTACTCGGGAGGCTGAGGCAGGAGAATGGCATGAACCCGGGAGGTGGAGCTTGCAGTGAGCCAAGATCGCACCGCTGCACTACAGCCTGGGTGACAGAGCGAGACTCCATCTAAAAAAAAAAAAAAAAAAAAAACACGCAGAATTTAAACGGGACACGCAGTAAAGGAGATGCGGCATACAGTAATTTATTACAAAGGAGAAAGAATATTTGGAAAGTTAAGTGAACAATAGACAGTACACCCTGAGAGAGAGAGAGAGGATTGAGGGCCAGCTGCTCATAAGGTTGGGGCAGCAAAGACGCATGAGGGAGACTCCCTTTATGGGGGTCTTACATGATTATTCATAAGGAATTGGGAAGAGGTGCTACTAGTGAGTATGTTCTGGATGGTCCTCTGAGTGCACATGTGCGGTAGCTGTATGTTCTTACATGCTTGTTCATACAATGCTTCTTGTCATACAATGCTTGTTCTACATGCTGGTATATGATTGTTCGTACATGTCACATGTCTTATTAGCATCTTAAACCTCCAACCAGGGCTCTGTTTTTTACTATTATAATGAGCGAAAGGTCAGTCTGAGGACAGGTAAAATCAAAATGTACATGCTCTTTGCAGGGGAAATTCTCTACTGAAGATAGTTTTGCTTGAAAGAGCTTAACCACAATGTGAAGGCAGAGGCTTATTGTGCTGATTGCACAGTCACAACAGTTGCTGCATCCCGAGGACATGGTTACTTCCTTGACTACCTATCCTGCCTCACTTTCAATGCTCTGATTTTATCCATTACCTTCCTGACTCATATGCTATTTTTGTCTTGACTTCATTTCTATCTTTGTTTTTAAATCTGCCATATTAGACTTAATTCTATTTACAGTCAGTGTTTTCAAATATACAACTTTTGTTTTTCTTAGAGTCCATGTCTCACTCTGTCACCTAGGTTGTCCTGGGCTCAACTGATCCTCCCTCCTGCCTCAGCCTCCCAAGTAGCTGGGACCACAGGCATGCACCATCATACCAGCTAATTTTGTAATTTTTTGTAGAGATGGGGTCTCACCAGGATGCCCAGGCTGGTCTTGAACTCCTGGGCTCAAGCAATCTTCCCACCTCAGCCTCCCATGCCTGGCATCATTCCTTATATCTCAGTTCTGATATCATTTCTTTAAATGTACATCCTTTTAAAGCTCCTTTAATGAAATCTGTTATGGTGTTTTGGGTTTTGCTCATCTGAAAATGCCTATTTTTATTCTAATTCCTGGAGGATAGTTTGGATAGAAACACAATTTGAGGTTAACAGTTATTGTCTCTCAGAATTTTGAAAATGAGCCATCTCTGTAGACCTCTCCCACCTCTGGGACCCCACTCAACCCTGTATTCTTACCTCTATTACTGTACTGATGTGGTTATCTGTCTCTACATACCTTTGTATCCCAACTAGACTGAGAGATATGAGGAAAAGAGGCCAAGTGTTTCTGCATCTCTGATTTGCCATTGTCAGGCACACTACCAGGCACATAGGGGCTGCACAGTAATTGTAGGTTGATGTAATCATGAATAACCTTGGATTTGAACTGTTGCCTTTCCAGTGCTATATTTTCTATGGTTCCTCTTGTGGCAGGAAACATGAGTCTTCAGAAAAGATTTTTCCATAGTTAGCAAATCACACCAAAATATTTATTAAGGGGCTGAATGAATAAGGCAATGGGATGGGTACGGTGAAAGAACAAGAGAAGTACCCTGACCTTGAAGGACACAGTTTAAGAAAACAGATATCCAGGCTGGGCACAGTGGCTCCGCATATAATCCCAGCACTTTGAGAGGCCAAGGCAGGCAGATTGCCTGAGCCCAGGAGTTTGAGACCAGCCTGGGCAACATGGTCTCTACAAAAAATTTAAAAAATTAGCCGGTTGTGGTCCCAGCTACTTGGGAGGCTGAGGCAGGAGGATTGCTTTGGGCAGCGGTGGGAAGGGGGATGGTGCAGGGGCGGATGTTGCAGTGAGCCAAAATTCTACGACCACCCTCCAGCCTGGGTGACAGAGAAAGACCTAGTCTCAAAAAAAAAAAAGAAAAAAGAAAGAAAGAAAACATATATCTAAATATGTTTATATATACTGTGTCTCCATTAACATAATTACAAGTTTGGATCACATTTTACTTTTATTTTTTTCTCATTTTTTTCTATGATAAAGCCTGATTTTTTAAACTTAAAATTAGCCTGAAGACTTTGTCACAGTATTTATGTTCATAAAGTTTATTGATAGAGTGGATTTTCTGCTACTGAACAGGCTCTAAACTATTAAAGACTACATACCCTGATACTTAATAAGTTTTGACACATAATATAAGGTTTTTGCACATGCATGAGATTCATAGGCTTTGTCTCTTCTTTGATTCTTTTTGATCCAGAAAGTGGTATGAATTCTGTATGGTCTTCCCATATTCACTGTACCCATAGGGTTTCTCTTTACCTGGAACTGCCTTAGGTTCTGCAGGGGCTATGAATCTACAAAAAAACTTTCCTACATTTACTGTAGTTATCAGATTTCATTCCAATGTGAATCTGCTGATGTATAACAAGGGTTGGATTCTGACCAAACACCTTCCCACATTCATTACACTCCTGTAATTTCTCTCTGTGATGAATATCCTGATGTCAAATAAGGTACAAATTTGGATGGGAATTTTTGCCAAATTCCTTGCATTCATATGGCTTATTTCCTGTGTGGATCCTATGATGTGAAATAAGGTGTGACCTGTAACTAAAGGCTCTTCCACATTCATTTACATTCATATGGTTTCTCTCAGCATGAACTCTGACAGAATAAGATTTAAACTCTGGATGAAAGTTTTCCCACATTCATTACATCCATTAGGTTTCACTCCAGTGTTAATTATCTGATTTTTAGCAAGTGCTGAGCTCCAATTGAAGGCTTTCCACATTGATTGCATTCACGGGCCTTTTCTCTACTGTGAATTATCTGCTGCTGAATAAGGTGTGATTTTGAATGGAAAGCTCTTCCACAGTAATTACATACTTATGACTTCTTTCCACTGAATTTTTTGATGCTGAATTAGGTGTGAGCTCTGTGCAAAGGTTTTCTCATACTTTCTGTATTCATGAGATATTAAATCTTTGGTACTTAATACATTTCTGGATAAAAGCTTTCCCACATTCATAATATTCATAAGGTTTCTCTCCAGTAAGAACTTTTATTTATTTATTTTTTGACACAGTATTACTCTGTAGCACAGGATGGAGTGCAGTGGCACAATCTCAGCTCACTGCAGCCTCCTCCCTCTGAGGTCAAGTGATTCTGCTGCCTCAGCCTCCTGAGTAGCTGGGATTACAGGCACCCACCACCAACCCTGGCCGATTTTTGTATTTTTAGTAGAGACAGAGTTTCACCATGCTGGCCAGGCTGGTCTCAAACTCCTGCCCTCAGATGTTCCACCCACCTTGGCCTCCCAAAGTGCTGGAATTACAGGCATGAGCCACCACGCCCGACCCTAGAACTTTTTAATGGTGAATTACAACTGAGCTCTAGCTGAAGGCTTTCTCTCGTTCATTACATTGACAGAGTTTCTTATCAGATAAATACTCTGATGTTCAATAAGGAGTAATTTCTGCATAACAGCTTTTCCACATACATTCACAGGGTTTCTCTCTCATGAGGCTTTTCTGATGTCTCGTTAAGTCTGAATTTAATTTGAAATTTTGGTCACACACCTGTCATTTCTGACACCTCTTCTGTAGGAACACTAGTATATATAATAGCATTTGAGCACAGACTCATGCAGCTCCTGTATTTGTTACATTTAAGACCTCTCTCCATTGCATGAGTGTTTGGATGGATCAGTATCACTGCCTGGAAATCTCTCTCTTGTAAAGAAAGGAAAATATTTGATCTGTCATCTGCAAGATGTTTGTAATGATTTTCTCAGTCTCTCTAATTTCTTTTTTTTTTTTTTTTGAGATAGAGTCTTGCTCTGTTGCCCAGGCTAGAGTGCTGTGGGGCAATCTTGGCTCACTGCACCCTCCACCTCCTGGGTCCAAGCAATTCTCCTGCCTCAGCCTCCTGAGTAGCTGGAATTACAGGCGCCTGCCACTGTGCCCAGCTACTTTTTGCATTTTTAGTAGAGACAGGGTTTCACCATATTGTCCAGGCTGGTCTCGAACTCCTGACCTCATGATCCACCTGCCTCAGCCTCCCAAAGTGCTGGGATTACAGGCGTGAGCCACCACACCTGGCCCCCAGTCTCCCTAATTTTTATAAGTTTCTTCAAGCTTGGCTTCCTGCAGAATGTTACATATAAATCTTTCCAATATCCACCTCCCACCTCAAGTGGCTCTCTTTCTTTTTTTTTTTTTTTTTTTTTTTTTTTTTTGAGATGGAGTCTTGCTCTGTCACCCAGACTGGAGTGCAGTGGTGCGATTTTGGCTCACTGCAAGCTCCGCCTCCTGAGTTCATGCCATTCTCCTGCCTCAGCCTCCCCAGCAGCTGGGACTACAGGCGCACACTGCCACGCCTGGCTACTTTTTTTGTATTTTTAGTAGAGACAGGGTTTCACCGTGTTAGCCAGGATGGTCTCGATCTCCTGACCTCATGATCAGCCTGCCTCGGCCTCCCAAAGTGCTGGGATTACAAGTGTAAGCCACAGTGTTGGGCCTCAAGTGGCTCTATTTATTTAAAAACTTCCATGTTTGTAGTTAGCTGGGTCTCAGAATCTGAAACAATCAAGAAAAAAGCATAGAAAACCATAACTAGCCAGGCGTGGTGGCTCACACGTGTAATCTCAGCACTTTGGGAGGCCGAGGCAGGTGGATCACCTGAGGTCAGGAGATCGAGACCAGCCTGGCCAACATGGTGAAACTCTGTCTCTACAAAAAATACAAAATTAGCCAGGTGTGGTGGCACATGCCTGTAATCCCCACCACTTGGGAGGCTGAGGCAGGAGAATCACTTGAGCCCGGGAGGTGGAGGTTGCAGTAAGCTGAGATTGCACCATTGTACTCCAGCCTGGGCAACAAGAGCAAAACTCCATCTCCAAAAAGAAGAAAAGAAAACCATAACTAAGAAAGTAATCAAATGAAATATGTAATACATGTAGTTATGTGGCAAACAGATTCAGGAGTATCTAAAAGCAGCCTTCCAAACACCAAGAGGTCAATAACAGTCCATGATCACCCCCAGGCAATACAGACACTTGGGGATTCTGGATTTCTTTTCATGTCTCTTAAATAGTGGTCCCTGGTACAGCTAGGTAGTAGATGAAGGCAGTTTAACTAAGCTCCATTCAGGGCCCAGTGTTTGTAGATGGTCAATGATGACACTTCATCAGGGTTATGGATGCTGTGTCTCAGCCCCATGGGACTGCTTAGGGAAAGAACACACAGGAGGAAGCTAAGGCACAGAACTGACCCCGTCACTGAGCCTAGTGCCTGCTGAGTGCTCACGCACACTGACAGTAAAAATGCCAGTATGGCCCAGTTTTAACGGAACCCACACACTTTCATGAGCTTTACCTCCTGAAGCCATAACAGGTTCTCACAGTGAAGATCTAAGAAAAAAAATCCCTTCATGCTTCCAGCAGTGGGAGGGGGAAATTAGCCATTCTGAAATATGCCCAGAGCGTATGGTTCTTCATAAAGCCCAACCTCAGGAGAAACTATTTTACCAGAGCCTAACCTGCTGAGGTTTTACCAGAGACAAACTGACCTGGGGAAAGGGAAATACCCAACTCCAACCTGCTCTAGCCTTTCTGTCTCATCTAAGGGGGATAAACCAATACAAAACTCAGAAGCACTTGTGAGGGTCACAATTTCACTGAAAGACTGAGACATACTCATAAGATTATGTGATGTTTCCCCTCCCTTCATATCTTACCCCAGCACTAGAGATCCTGAATAGTTAGGGGAGAATATAACTGAAAGAACTGTGTGTCTCAAACTTCAAGAAGTCTCTAGGATAACCCAAAGGCAACAAGGGAGACCAAAACAAGGACGCTGGAGACATTTTAGCCTCTGATACTGACAGCTGCAGCAAACAGAAAACGCAGCCTAACCGCGGGCCAGATAAAAACCTCACACTAAAGGCCTAACTATCAGTTCCTTTTAACCAGTGCATCGTATCTCACTTTCAATAAAATGTTACCACACGTTCTAGACACACAAAAAATATAGAATTTGAAAAGAAAAAGCAAGCATAAGAACCAAACTGAGCTTATGGCAGAGATGTTGGAAATATCAGACCTTGAATTTTTAAGACTATGATTAATATGCAAAGGGTTTTAATGGAAAGTGAGAACAATATGCAAGAACAGATAGGTAATATAAGCAGAGAAATGGAAACACTAAGAAAGAATCAAAAGAAAATGCTAGAAATCAAAAACATCATGACAGAAATAAAGACTGCCACCTGTAATCCCAGCACTTTGGGAAACCAAGGTGGGTGGATCACTTGAGGTCAGGAGTTTGAGACCAGTCTGGCCAAAATGGTGAAACACCATCTCTACTAAAAATTCAAAAATTAGCCGGGCATGGTGGCACACACCTGTAGTCCCAGCTACTCGGGAGTCTGAGGTAGGAGAATCATTTGAACCCAGGAGGCAGAGGTTACAGTGAGCCAGCCTGGGCAACAGAACAAGACTCCATCTCAAAACAACAACAACAAAAGGACTGGACACAACTGAAGAAAGAATCAATGATCCTGAAGACATGTCAGTAGAAACTTTCAAAATAGAAATGCTAAGAGAAAAAAAGAATAAAAAGGATGAAACAGAACATCCAAGAACTGTGGGACAACTGCAAAAGGTGTAACATATGCATATTGGGAATACCAGAAGAAGAATGAAGGAAAGGAACAGAAGAAATATTTGAGCCAATTGTAATAAAATTTTGCAAAATTAATAACATGCACCAAACCACAGTTCCAGAAAGTACAGACAACACCAGCAAGATAAATACCAAAATTCTATACACAAACATACCATATTCAAACTGCAGAAAATGAAGAACAAAAAAAATCTTCAAAGAAGCCGGAGGGCCAGACACGGTTGCTCATGCCCGCAATCCCAGTGCTTTGGGATGCCAAGGCGGGTGGATCACCTGAGGTCAGGAGTTCCAGACCAGCCTGACCAACATGGTGAAAACCCGTCTCTACTAAAAATACAAAAATTAGCCGGGTGTCGTGATGCATGCCTGTATTCCCAGCTACTTGGGAGGCCTGAGGCAGGAGAATTGCTTGAGCCTGGGAGGCAGAGGTTGCAGTGACCCGAGACTGCACCATTGCACTCCAGCCTGGCCAACAAGAGAAAAACTCCATTCAAAAAAAAAGGCAAGAAAGAAAAAAACTAAGCAAGGGTAAGCATTATATCAGTTTTATCTTCCAAAAAATGTTAAAAGTAACACCAGCCCCGATTCTGTATAAAGTGGCATTATCTTTCAAAAATGAAGGAGAAATAAAAACTCTCTCAGACAAAAATTGAGGGAATTTATTGCCCGTAGATCTAACCTTGCAAGAACTATTAAAATAACTTCTTCAGAGAGGGGGAAATGATAAATCAGAAACTAGTATCTACATAAAGAAAGGAAGAGCATTAGAGGCAAAATCAATAAAGGTAAATAAAATATTTTAGTTTTCTTATTCTCAATTATCTAATGGATAACAGTTTGTTTGAATTAATAATAGCAATGTATTTGGTGATTGTAGTGAAATGAATGATAGCAAAGTGGAGTTTTTTGTTTGTTGTTTGAGACAGAGTCCCACTCTGTTGCCCAGGCTGGAGAGCAGTGGCACGATCATGACTCACTGCAATCTCCACCTCCCAGGCTCAAGTGATCCTCCTGCCTCAGCCTCCTGAGTAGCTGGGACTACAGGCATGTGCCAATATACTTGGCTAATTTTGTTGCCCAGGCTGCTCTGGAACTCCTGGGCTCAAGCAACTGCCTGGACCTCCCAAAGTGTTGGGATTACAGACGTGAGCCACTGCACCTAGCTGATAGCAATGTTATAAGGGATGAGAGAAAAGAATTGGGAATACTCTGTTATAAGGTAATTGTACTATCTGGGAAGTAGTATAGCACTATTTGAAAAAAGACTCAGATTAGTTGTAAATGTACACTGCAAACTCAAGGGCTACTAATAATACAAAATAAGTAAAAAAATGTATACTTAATGTGATGAAAGGAAAAAACTAGAATCATACAAAATGCTCAATTAAAACCAAAGAAGGCCCAGGCACAGTGGCTCATGTCAATAATCTGAGCACTTTGGGAGGCTGAGGTGGGAGGGTTTTTTGAGCCCAGGGGTTCTAGACCAGCCTGGGAAATATAGCAAGACCCCATCCCTATAAAACATTTTAAAATTCTCTAAAGTGAAGGATAAAAAAAGAAAATAAATAAATTGTCTGGCCATGATGATGAACACTTGTAGTCCCACCTCCTTGGGAGGCTGAGTGGGGAGGATCACTTGAGCCCAGGAGTTCAAGGCTGCAGTGAGCTAT